>NC_000003.12:90370068-90550102 GCF_000001405.40 Homo sapiens
ATTCTAACTAATGTGAGATGATATCTCATTGTGGTTTTGAATTGCATTTCTCTGATGGTCAGTGATGGTGAACATTTTTTCATATGTTTTTTGGCTGCACAAATGTCTTCTTTTGAGAATTGTCTCTTCATTTTCTGTGCTCACTTTTTGATGTGATTGTTTTTCTCTTGTAAATTTGTTTGAGTTCATGGTAGATTCTAGATATTAGCCCTTTGTCAGATGAGTAGGTTGCAAAAATTTTCTCCCATTTTGTAGGCTGCCTGTTCACTCTGATGGAAGTTTATTTTGCTGTGTAGAGGCTCTTTAGTTTAATTAGATCCCATTTGTCAATTGTGGCTTTTGTTGCCCTTGCTTTTGGTGTTTTAGACATGAAGTCCTTGCCCATGCCTATGTCCTGAATGGTGATGCCTAGGTTTTCTTCTAGGGTTTTTATGGTTTTTGGTCTAATGTTTAAGTCTTTAATCCATCTTGAATTAATTTTTGTATAAGGTGTAAGGAAGGGATCAACTTTCAGCTTTTTACATATGGCTAGTCAGTTTTCCCAGCACCATTTATTAAATAGGGAATCCTTTCCCCATTGCTTGTTTTTCTCAGGTGTGTCAAAGATCAGATAGTTGCAGATATGCAGCGTTATTTCTGAGGGCTCTGTTCTGTTCCATTGATCTATATCTCTGTTTGGTACCAGTACCATGCTATTGTGGTTACTGTGGCCTTGTAGTATAGTTTGAAGTCAGGTAGGGTGATGCCTCCAACTTCGTTCTTTTGGCTTAGGATTGACTTGGTGATGTGGGATCTTTTTTGGTTCCATATAAACTTTAAAGTAGTTTTTTCCAATTCTGTGAAGAAAGCCATTGGTAGCTTGATGGGGATGGCATTGAATCCATAAATTAACTTGGGCAGTATGGTCATTTTCACGATATTGATTCTTCCTACCCATGAGCGTGAAATGTTCTTCCATTTGTTTGTATCCTCTTTTAATTCCTTAAGCAGTGGTTTGTAGTTCTCCTTGAAGAGGTCCTTCACATCCCTTGTAAGGTGGATTCCTAGGTATTTTATTCTCTTTGAAGCAATTGTGAATGGGATTTCACTCATGATTTGGCTCTCTGTTTGTTATTTGTGTATAAGAATGCTTGTGATTTTGGTACATTGATTTTGTATCCTGAGACTTTGCTGTAGTTGCTTATCAGCTTAAGGAGATTTTGGGCTGAAACAATGGGGTTTTCCAGATATACAATCATGTCGTCTGCAAACAGGGACAATTTGACTCCCCTTTTCCTAATTGAATACCCTTTATTTCCTTCTCCTGCCTAATTGACCTGGCCAGAATTTCTAACACTATGTTGAATAGGAGTGGTTTGGGAGGGCATCCCTCTCTTGTGCCAGTTTTCAAAGGGAATGCTTCCAGTTTTTTCCCATTCAGTATGATATTGGCCGTGGCTTTGTCATAGATAGCTCTTATTATTTTGAGATACGTCCCATCAATGCCTAATTTCTTGAGAGTTTTTAGCATGAAGCGTTGTTGAATTTTGTCAAAGGCCTTTGCTGCATCTATTGAGATAATTATGTGGTTTTTGTCTTTGGTTATGTTTATATGTTGGATTACATTAATTGATTTGCATATATTTAACCAGCCTTGCGTCCCAGGGATGAAGCACACTTGATCATGGTGGATAAGCTTTTTGATGTGCTGCTGGTTTCGTTTTGCCAGTATTTTATTGAGGATTTTTGCATCAATGTTCATCAAGGATATTGGTCTAAAATTCTGTTTTTTGGTTGTGTCTCTGCCCGGCTTTGGTATCAGGATGATGCTGGCCTCATCAAATGAGTTAGGGAGGATTCCCTCTTTTTCTATTGATTGGAATAGTTTCAGAAGGATTGGTACCAATTCCTCATTTTACCTCTTGTAAAATTCGGCTGTGAATCCATCTGGTCCTGGACTCTTTTTGGTTGGTAAGCTATTGATTATTGCCACAATTTCAGATCCTGTTATTGGTCTATTCAGAGATTCAACTTTTTCCTGGTTTAGTCTTGGGAGGGTGTATGTGTTGAGGAATTTATCCATTTCCTCTAGAGTTTCTAGTTTATTTGCATAGACGTGTTTGCAGTAATCTCTGATGGTACTTTGTAGTTTTGAGTGATTGGTAGTGATATCCCCTTTATCATTTTTTATTGTTTCTATTTGATTATTCTCTCTTTTTTTCTTTTTTATTCTTGCTAGCAGTCTATCAATTTTGTTGATCCTTTAAAAACACCAGCTTCTGGATTCATTAATTTTTTGAAGGGTTTTTTGTGTCTCTATTTCCTTCAGTTCTGCTCTGATTTTAGTTGTTTCTTGCCTTCTGCTAGCTTTTGAATGTGTTTGCTCTTCCTTTTCTAGTTCTTTTAATTGTGATATTAGGGTGTCAATTTTGGTTCTCTCCTGTTTTCTCTTGTGGGCATTTAGTGCTATAAATCACCAAAGTTGAAATGAAGGAAAAAATGTTAAGGGCAGCCAGAGAGAAAGGTCGGGTCACCCACAAAGGGAAGTCCACCAGACTAACAGGGGACCTCTCAGCAGAAACTCTACAAGCCAGAAGAGATTGGGGGCCAATATTCCACATTCTTAAAGAAAATAATTTTCAACCCAGAATTTCAAATACAGCCAAATTAAGCATCATAAATGAAGGAGAAATAAAATCCTTTACAGACAAGCAAATGCTGAGAGATTTTGTCACTATCATGCTTGCCCTAAAAGAGCTCCTGAAGGAAGGCCTAAATATGGAAAGGAACAACTGGTACCAGCCACTGCAAAATCATGTCACAATGTAAAGACCATCGAGAGTACGAAGAAACTGCATCAACTAACAGGCAAAATCACCAGCAAACATCATAATGACAGGATCAAATTCACATATAACAATATTAACTTTAAATGTAAATGGACTGAATGCTCCAATTAAAAGACACAGATCATCAAATTGGATAAAGAGTCAAGACCCATCAGTGTGCTGTATTCAGGAAACCCATCTCACATGCAGAGATGCAAATAGGCTTAAAATAAAAGGATGGAGGAAGATCTACGAAGCAAATGGAAAACAATAAAAGGCAGGGGTTGATATCCTAGTCTCTGATAAAATAGACTTTATACCAACAAAAATCAAAAGAGGCAAGGCCATTACATAATGGTAAAGGGATCAATTCAACAAGAAGAGCTAAGTATACTAAATACATACACCCAATACAGGAGCACCCAGATTCATAAAGCAAGTCCTGAGTGACCTATGAAGAGACTTAGACTCCCACACAATAATAATGGGAGACTTTAATGCCCCACTGTCAATATTAGACAGATCAAAGAGACAGAGAGTTAACAAGGATACCCAGGAATTGAACTCAGCTCTGCACCAAGCGGACCTAATAGACATCTACAGAACTCTCCACCCCAAATCTATAGAGTATACACTTTTTTCAGCAACACACCACACTTATTGCAAAATTGACCACATATTTGGAAGTAAAGCTCTCCTCAGCAAATGTAAAAGAACAGAAATTATAACAAACTATCTCTCAGAACACAGTGCAATCAAACTAGAACTCAGGATTACGAAACTCACTCAAAACCGCTCAACTACAGGGAAACTGAACAACCTGCTCCTGAATGACTACTGCATACATAACGAAATGAAAGCAGAAATAAAGATGTTCTTTGAAACCAACGAGAACGAAGACACAACATACCAGAATCTCTGGGACACATTCAAAGCAGTGTGTAGAGGGAAATTTATAGCACTAAATGCCCACAAGAGAAAACAGGAAAGATCCAAAGTTGACACCCTAACATCACAATTAAAAGAACCAGAAAAGCAAGAGCAAACACATTCAAAAGCTAGCAGAAGGCAAGAAATAACTAAGATCAGAGCAGAACTGAAGGAAATAGAGACACAAAAACCTTTCAGAAAATTAATGAATCCAGGAGCTGGTTTTTTGAAAGGATCAACAAAATTGATAGACTGCTAGCAAGACTAATAAAGAAAAAAAGAGAGAAGAATTAAATAGACACAATAAAAACTGATAAAGGGGATATCACCACCGATCCATCAGAAATACAAACCACCATCAGAGAAAAATACAAACACATCTATGCAAATAAACTGGAAAGTCTAGAAGAAATGGATAAATTCCTTGACACATACACTGTCCCAAGACTAAACCAGGAAGAAGTTGAATCTCTGAATAGACCAATAACAGGATCTGAAATTGTGGCAATAATCAATAGCTTACCAACCAAAAAGAGTCCAGGACCAGATGGATTCACATCGAATTTTACCAGAGGTAAAAGGAGGAACTGGTATCATTCCTTCTGAAACTATTCCAATCAATAGAAAAAGAGGAAATCCTACCTAACTCATTTGATGAGGCCAGCATCATCCTGATACCAAAGCCGGGGCAGAGACACAACCAAAAAAGAGAATTTGACACCAATATCCTTGATGAACATTGATACAAAAATCCTCAATAAAATACTGGGAAACCGAATCCAGCAGCACATCAAAAAGCTTATCCACCATGATCAAGTATGCTTCATTCCTGGAATGCAACGCTAGTTCAATATATGCAAATCAATAAATGTAATCCAGCATATAAACATAACCAAAGACAAAAACCACATGATTATCTCAATAGATGTAGAAAAGGCCTTTGACAAATTTCAACAACACTTCATGCTAAAAATTCTCAAGAAATTAGGTATTGATGGGACGTATCTCAAAATAATAAGAGCTGTCTATGACAAAGCCACAGCCAATATCATACTGAATGGGCAAAAACTGGAAGCATTCCCTCTGAAAACTGGCACAAGACAGGGATGCCCTCTCTCACCACTCCTATTCAACATAGGTTGGAAGTTCTGGCCAGGGCAATTAGGCAGGAGAAGGAAATAAAGGATATTCAATTAGGAAAAGAGGAAGTCAAATTGTCCCTGTTTGCAGATGACATGATTGTATATCTAGAAAACCCCATTGCCTGAGCCCAAAATCTCCTTAAGCTGATAAGCAACTTCAGCAATGTCTCAGGATACAAAAATCAATGTACCAAAATCACAAGCATTCTTATACACAAATAACAGACAAACAGAGAGCCAAATCATGAGTGAACTGCCATTGACAATTGCTTCAAAGAGAATAAAATACCTAGGAATCCACCTTACAAGGGATGTGAAGGACCTCTTCAAGGAGAACTACAAACCACTGCTCAATGAAATAAAAGAGGATACAAACAAATGGAAGAACAGTCCATGCTCATGGGTAGGAATAATCAATATCTTGAAAACGGCAATACTGACTAAGGCAATTTACAGATTCAATGACATCCCCATCGAGCTATGAATGACTTTCCTCACAGAATTGGAAAAAACTACTTTACAGTTCATATGGGACCAAAAAAGATCCCACATCACCAAGTCAATCCTAAGCCAAAAGAACAAAGACGGAGGCATCACACTACCTGACCTCAAACTATACTACAAGGCTACAGTAACAAAAACAGCATGTTACTTGTACCAAAACAGAGATATAGATCAATGGAACAGAACAGAGCCTTCAGAAATAACGCCACATATCTTCAACTATCTGATCTTTGACATACCTGAGAAAAACAAGCAATGGGGAAAGGATTCCCTATTTAATAAATGGTGCTGGGAAAACTGACTAGCCATATGTAGAAACCTGAAAGTGGATCCCTTCTTTACACTTTATACAAAAATTAATTCAAGATGGATTAAAGACTTAAACGTTAGAACTAAAACCATAAAAACCCTAGAAGAAATCCTAGGCATTACCACTCAGGACATAGGCATGGGCAAAGACTTCATGTCTAAAACACCAAAAGCAATGGAAACAAAAGCCAAAATTGACAAATGGGATCTAATGAAACTAAAGAGCTTCTGCACAGCAAAAGAAACTACCATCAGAGTGAACAGGCAACCTACAAAATGGAAGATAATTTTCACAACCTACTCATCTGACAAAGGGCTAATATCCTGAATCTACAATGAACTCTAACAAATTTATAAGAAAAAAACAAACAAACTCATCAAAAAGTCGGCGAAGGACATGAACAGACACTTCTCAAAAGAAGACATTTGTGCAGCCAAAAAACATATGAAAAAATGTTCACCATCACTGGTTATCAGAGAAATGCAAATCAAAAGCACAATGAGACACCATCTCACACCAGTTAAAATGGCAATCATTAAAATGTCATCAAACAACAGGTGCTGGAGAGGATTTGGAGAAACAGGAACACTTTTGCACTGTTGGTGGGACTGTAAACTAGTTAAACCCTTGTGGAAGTCAGTGTGGTGAGTCCTCAGGGACCTAGTACTAGAAATACCATTTGACCCAACCATCCCATTACTGGGTACATACCCGAAGGGCTATAAATCATGATGATATAAAGACACATGTACACATATGTTTATTGGGGCGCTATTCACAATAACAAAGACGTGGAACCAACCCAAATGTCCAACAATGATAGACTGGATTAAGAAATTGTGGCATGTATACACCATGGAATACTATGCAGCCATAAAAAACGATGAGTTCATGTCCTTTGTACGGACATGGATGACATTGGAAATCATCATTCTCAGTAAACTATTTCAAGAACAAAATACCAAACACAGCATATTCTCACTCATAGGTGGGAATTGAAGAAAGAGCATATGGACACAGGAAGGTGAACATCACACTCTGGGGACTGTTGTGTGGTGGGGGGAGGGGGTAGGCATAGCTTTAGGAGATATACCTAATGCTAAATCACGAGTTAATGGGTGCAGTACACCAGCATGGCACATGTATATATTTGTAACTAACCTGCACATTGTGCACATATATCCTAAAACTTAAAGTATAATAATAACAAAATAAACAATAAAATAAAATATTGTATTAAATATATAAAAAAATAAAGTTAGATATACAAACTCTTACAAAAATTTGACAAAGTAATTTTATGTTGGCTAAATCTAATAAACAAATTAGCTTCTATTTAAAAAAGAAAAGAAATGTTCAACTCTGAGTTGAAAGCACACATCACAAAAACTTTCTCAGAATGCCTCTGTATAGTTTTTATGTGAAGGTATTTCCTTTTGCACCTTAGGCCTCAAAACAATCCAAATGTAGATTTGCAGATTCTACAAAAAGAGTGTTTCAAAACAGCTCAATCAAAAGACAGTTTCAACTCTGTGAGATGAATGCACACATCACAAAGAGGTTTCTCGTAATGCTTCTGTGTATTTTTTATGTGAAGGTATTACCTTTTACACTGGATGCCGAAAAGCACTCCAAATATACACTTGCAGATTCTACAAAAAGAGTGTTTCAAAACTGGCCAATCAAAAGAAATGTTCAACTCTGGGACATGAATGCACACATCAAGAAGAAATTTCTCATAATGCTTTTGTCTAATTTTTATGTGAAGATATTTCCTTTTCCACTATAGATCTCAAAGCACTCCAAATATCCACTTGCAGATACTACAAAAAGACTGTTTCCAAACTGCTGAATCAAAGGAAAACTTCAACTCTGTAAGTAGTATGCACACATCACAAAGAAGTTTCTCATAATGCTTTTGTCTAATTTTTATGTGAAGATATTTCCTTTTCCAATAGCGGTCTCAAAGCGATCAACATATACATTAGAACATACTAAAAAAAACTCTTTCCAAACAGCTCCATCAAAAGATAGGTTCAACTCTGTGAGTTGAATGCACACATCAAAAACAAGCTTCTCAGAATGCTTCTGTCTAGTTTTTACATAAAGATATTTCCTTTATCAATAGGCCTCAAATCGCTCCAAATATCCACTTGCAGATTCTACAAAAAGAGAGTTTCAAAACTACTCAATCAAAAGAAATGTTCAACTCTGTGAAATGAATGCAAACATAACAATGCAGTTTCTCAGAATGCTTCTGTCTAGTTTTTATGTGAAGATATTTCCTTCTCCATTATAGGCCACAAAGCGCTCTAAATATCCATTTGTAGTTTCTACAAAAAGAGTGTTTCAAAACTTCTCAAACAAAAGAAATGTTCAACTCTGTGGGATGAATGCACACATCACAAAGTAGTTTCTCAGATGCTTCTGTATAGTTTTTATGTGAAGATATTTCCTTTTCCACTATATGGCTCAAAGCGCTCCAAATATCGATTTGAAGATACTACAAAAAAATTTTTTCCAAACTGCTCAATCAAAACAATGGTTCAACATTGTGAGTTGAATGCACTCATGACAAAAAAGTTTCTCAGAATGCTTCTGTCTAGTTTTTGTGAAGATATTTCCATTTTCACCAAGTGCCTCAAAGCTCCCCAAATATCCATCTGCACATTCTACAAAAAGAGTGTTTCAAAACAGCCCAATCGAAAGAAAAGTTCAACCTTGTGAGATGAATGCACACATCAAAAAGAAGTTTCTCAGAATGCTTCAGTATAGTTTTCATGTGAAGATATTTCCTTTTCCACTATCGGCCGCAAAGCGCTTCAAATATCCATCTGCAGATTGTACAAAAAATTTTTTCAATACTGCAAATCAAAAGAAAGATTCAGCTCTGTGACACGAATACCACATCGCAAGGAAGTTTCCTAGAATGCTTCTGTCTAGTTTGTATGTGAAGATATTTCCTTTTCCACACTAGGCCTCAAAGCGCTCGAAATATACATTTGCAGATACTACAAAAAGACTTTCCAAACTGCTCAATCAAAAGAAAAGTTCAACTTGTGAGTTGAATGCACACATGACAAATAAGATTTTCAGAATGCTTCTGTCTAGTTTTTATGTGAAGATATTTCCTTTTCCACCATAAGCCTCACAGAGCTCCAAATAACCACTTGCAGATACTACAAAAAGAGTGTTTCAAATCTGCCCAAGCAAAATAAAGGTTCAATTATGTGAGATAAATACACACATCACAAAGAAGATTCTGAGAGGGCTTCTGTCTAGTTTTTATGTAAAGATATTTCCTTTTCCACCATAGGCCTCAAAGCGCTAAAACTATAAATTAGAACATACTAAAAAAGACTCTTTCCAAACTACTCCATCAAAAGAAATATTCAGCTCTGTGAGTTGAATGCACGCATCACAAAGAAGTTTCTTAGAATGCTTTTGTCTAGTTTTCATGTGAAGATATTTCCTTTTCCAACAAAGGCCTCAAATCACTCCAAATATCCACTTTCAGATTCTACAAAAAGTGTGTTTCAAATCTGCTCAATCAAAAGCAAGGTTGAACTCTGTGAGATGAATGAACACATCACAAAAACGTTTCTCAGAATGCTGTTGGCCAGTATTTATGTGAAGATATTTCCTTTTCCACCATAGGTGGAAAAGCGCTCCAAAAACCCACTTGTAGATTCTACAAAAAGAATGTCTCAAAACTGCTCAATCAAAAACAGGTTCAAGTGTGTGGGATGAATGCACACATCACAAAGAAGTTTATCAGAATACTTCTGTCTAGTTTTTATGGGAAGATATTTACATATCCACTACAAGCCTCAAAACGTTCCAAATATCCATTTGCAGACACTACAAAAAAACTGTTTCCAAATTGCTCAATCAAACGAAAAGTTCAAATCTGTGAGTTGAATACACACATCACAAAGCAGTGTCTCAGAATGCTTCTGTCTAGTTTTTATGTAAAGATATTTCCTTTTCCAACATAAGCCTCAGAACGCTCCAAATATCCACTTGCAAATCCTACAAAAACAGTGTTTCAAAACTGCTCAATCAAAACAAAGGTTCAACTCTGTGATATGAATGCACACATCACAAATAAGTTTCTCAGAATGCTTCTGTCTGGTTTGTATATGAAGATATTTCCTTTTCCAATATAGCACTCAAAGCACTTCAAATATCCATTTGCATATACTACAAAAAGACTTTTTCCAAACTGCTCAATCAAAGGAAAGATTCAACTCTGTGAGGTGAATGCACACAAACAAAGAAGTTTCTCAGAATGCTTCTGTCTAGTTTTTATGTGAAGATATTTCCTTTTTCAGGATAGGCCTCAAAACGCTCCAAATATCCACTTGCGGATTCTGCAAAAAGAGTGTTTCAGAACTACTCAATCCAAAGAAGCCTTCAACACTGTGAGATAAATACATACATCACAAAGAAGTTTCTCAGAATGCTTCTGTCTAATTTTTATGTGAAGATATTTCCTTTCCCACTATACACATCAAAGCGCTCCAAATATCCACTTGCAAATACGACAA
The DNA here is from genome assembly GCF_000001405.40 of Homo sapiens. NCBI lineage: Eukaryota > Metazoa > Chordata > Mammalia > Primates > Hominidae > Homo > Homo sapiens. The sequence continues at coordinate 90,380,312 of NC_000003.12, forward strand.
AAAGACTCTTTCCAAACTCGTCAATCAAAAGAAATGTTCAACTCTGTGAGTTGAATGCACACATGACAATGAAGTTTCTAAGAATACTTCTGTCTAGCGTTCATGTGAAGATAGTTCATTATACAGAATATGCCTCAAAGTACTCCAAATATCCACTTGCAATTTCTACAAAAAGTCTGTTTCAAACTGCTTAATCAAAAGAAATGTTCAGCTCTGTGAAATGAATGTGCACATCACAAAGAAGTTTCTCGGAATGCTTGTGTCTTTTTTTTATGTGAAGATATTTCCATTTTCACCACAGGCCTTATACCAGTCACAAATATCCCTCTACAGATACTACAAAAAGACTGTTTCCAAACTGCTCCATAAAAAGAAACCTTTAAATATCTGAGATAAATGCACACATCACAAGGAAGTTTCTGAGAATGGTTCTGTCTGGTTTTTATGTGAGGATATTTCCTTTTCCACTATAGGCCGCAAAGCGCTCTAAATATCCCCTTGCAGATCCTACAAAAACAGTGTTTCGAAACTGTTCAATGAAAAGAAATGTTCAACTCTGTGAAGTGAATGCACACATCACAAATAAGTTTCTGAGAATGCTTCTGTATAGTTGTTATGTGAAGATATTTCCCTTTCCACCTTATGCCTCAAAGCTCTCCAAATATCCATTTGCAGATGGTACAAAAAGACTTTTTCCAAACTGCTCAATCAAAAGAAAGGTGCAACTCCGTGAGTTGAATGCACACATCACAAAGAAGTTTGTCAGAATGCTTCTGTCTAGTTTTTATGTGAAGATATTTCCTTTTCCCCTGTAGGCCTCAAAGGGCACCAAATATCCACCTGCAGATTCTACAAAAAGAGTGTTTCAAAACTGTCTAGTCAAAAGAAAGGTTCAACTCTGTGACATGAATGCACATATCACAAAGAAGTTTCTCATAATGCTTTTGTCTAATTTTTATTTGAATGTATTTTCTTTTACACTATAGAACTCAAAGCGCTCCAAATATGCATTTGAGCATACTAAAAAAGACTCTTTCCAAAATGCTCCATCAAAGGAAATATGCAACTCTGTGAGTTGAATGCACACATCACAAGGAAATTTCCCAGAAAGCTTCTGTCTAGTTTTTATGTGAAGATATTTCCTTTTCCACTATAGGCCTCAAAGCCCTCCAAATATCCACTTGCAGATACTAGAAAAATACTTTTCCAAACTGCACAATCAAAAGATAGGTTCAACTCTGTAAGTTGTATGCACTCATCACAAAGAAGTTTCTCACAATGCTTTTGTCTAATTTTTACTTGAAGATATTTCCTTTTCCATTAGGGCCCTCAAAGCAATCAAAATATACATTAGAACATACTAAAAAAGACTCCTTGAAAACTGCTCCATCAAAAGAAAGGTGCACCTCTGTGAGTTGAATGCGCACATCACAATGAAATTTCACAGAATGCTTCTGTCTAGTTTTTATGTGAAAATATTTCCTTTTTCACCATAGGCCTTAAAGCACTCAAAATATCCCCTTGAAGATTCTGCAAATAGAGTGCTTCAATCCTGCTCTATTAAAAGAAAGATTCAACTCTGTGAAATGAATGCACATATCACAAAAATTTTCTCACAATGCTTCTGTCTGGTTTTTATGTGAAGATATTTCCTTTTCCACTACAGACCGCAAAGCACTCAAAATATGCACTTGTAGATTCTACAAAAAGTGTGTTTCAAAACTGCTCAATCAAAACAAATATTCAAATTCCTGAGTTGAATGCACACACCAAAAAGCAGTTTCTCAGAATGCTTCTGTTTAGTTTTTATGTGAAGTTATTTGCTTTTCCACTATAGGGCTCAAAGCGCTCCAAATATCCATTAGCCGATACTACAAAAGACTGTTTCCAAACTGCTCAATGAAAAGAATGGTTCAACTTTGTCAGTTGAGTGCACTTATCACAAAGAAGTTTCTCAGAAGGCTTCTCTCTAGTTTTCATGTGAAGATATCTCCTTTTCCACCATAGGACTCAAAGCGCTCCAAATATCCACCTGCAGACTCGTCAAAAAGGGTTTTTCAAAACTGCTCAAAAAAAACAAAGGTTTAACTCTGTGAGATGAATGCACACATCACAAAGAAGTTTCTCTGAATACTTCCTTCTAACTTCTTTTTTTATACTTTAAGTTTTAGGGTACATGTGCACATTGTGCAGGTTAGTTACATAGTTATACATGTGCCATGCTGGTGTGCTACACCCACTAACTCGTCATCTAGCATTAGGTATATCTCCCAATGCTATCCCTCCCCCCTCCCCCAACCCCACCACAGTCCCCAGAGTGTGATATTCCCCTTCCTGTGTCCATGTGATCTCATTGTTCAATTCCCACCTATGAGTGAGAATATACGGTGTTTGGTTTTTTGTTCTTGCGATAGTTTACTGAGAATGATGATTTCCAATTTCATCCATGTCCCTACAAAGGACATGAACTCATCATTTTTTATGGCTGCATAGTATTCCATGGTGAATATGTGCCACATTTTCTTAATCCAGTCTATCGTTGTTGGACATTTGGGTTGGTTCCAAATCTTTGCTATTGTGAATAATGCCGCAATAAACATATGTGTGCATGTGTCTTTATAGCAGCATGATTTATAGTCCTTTGGGTATATACCCAGTAATGGAGTGGCTGGGTCAAATGGTATTTCTAGTTCTAGATCCCTGACGAATCGCCACATTGACTTCCACAATGGTCGAACTAGTTTACAGTCCAACCAACAGTGTAAAAGTGTTCCTATTTCTCCACATCCTCTCCAGCAACTGTTGTTTCCTGACTTTTTAATGATTGCCATTCTAACTGGCGTGAGATGGTATCTCATTGTGGTTTTGATTTGCATTCCTCTGATGGCCAGTGATGATGAGCATTTTTTCATGTGTTTTTTGGCTGCATAAATGTCTTCTTTTGAGAAGTATCTGTTCATATCCTTCAACCACTTTTTGATGGGGTTGTTTTTTTCTTGTAAATTTGTTTGAGTTCATTGTAGATTCTGGATATTAGCCCTTTGTTAGATGAGTAGGTGGCAAAAATTTTCTCCCATTTTGTAGGTTGCCTGTTCACTCTGATGGTAGTTTCTTTTGTTGTGCAGAAGCTCTTTAGTTTAATTAGATCCCATTTGTCAATTTTGTCTTTTGTTGCCATTGCTTTTGGTGTTTTAGACATGAAGTCCTTTCCCATGCCTGTCCTGAATGGTAATGCCTAGGTTTTCTTCTAGGGTTTTTATGGTTTTAGGTCTAACATTTAAGTCTTTAATCCATCTTGAATTGATTTTTGTATAAGGTGTAAGGAAGGGATCCAGTTTCAGCTTTCTACTTATGGCTAGCCAGTTTTCCCAGCACCATTTATTAAATAGGGAATCCTTTCCCCATTGCTTGTTTTTCTCAGGTTTGTCAAAGATCAGATAGTTGTAGATATGTGGTATTATTTCTGAGGGCTCTGTTCTTTTCCATTGATCTATATCTCTGTGTTGGTACCAGTAACATGCTGTTTTGGTTACTGAAGCCTTGTAGTATAGTTTGAAGTCAGGTAGTGTGATGACTCCAGCTTTGTTCTTTTGGCTTCGGATTGACTTGGCAATGCAGGCTCTTTTTTGGTTCCATATAAACTTTAAAGTATTTTTTTCCAATTCTGTGAGGAAAGTCATTGGTAGCTTATTGGGGATGGCATTGAATCTGTAAATTACCTTGGGCAGTATGGCCATTTTCATGATATTGATTCTTCCTACCCATGAGCATGGAATGTTCTTCCATTTGTTTGTATCTTCTTTTACTTCCTTGAGCAGTGGTTTGTAGTTCTCCTTGAAGAGGTCCTTCACATCCCTTGTATGTTGGATTCCTAGGTATTTTATTCTCTTTGAAGCAATTGTCAATGGCAGTTCACTCATGATTTGGCTCTCTGTTTGTCTGTTGTTGGTGTGTAAGAATGCTTGTGATTTTGGTACATTGATTTTGTATCCTGAGACTTTGCTGAATTTGCTTATCAGCTTAAGGAGATTTTGGGCTGAGACAATGGGGTTTTCTAGATATACAATCATGTCATCTGCAAACAGGGACAATTTGACTTCCACTTTTCCTAATTGAATACCCTTTATTTCCTTCTCCTGCCTAATTGACCTGGCCAGAACTTCCAACACTATGTTGAATAGGAGTGGTGAGAGAGGGCATCCCTGTCTTGTGCCAGTTTTCAAAGGGAATGCTTCCAGTTTTTGCCCATTCAGTATGATATTGGCTGTGGGTTTGTCATAGATAGCTCTTATTATTTTGAAATGCATCCCATTAATACCTAATTTATTGTGAGTTTTTAGCATGAAGCATTGTTGAATTTTGTCAAAGACCTTTTCTGCAACTATTGAGATAATCATGTGGTTTTTGTCTTTGGCTCTGTTTATATGCTGGATTACATTTATTGATTTGCGTATATTGAACCAGCCTTGCATACCAGGGATGAAGCTCCCTTGATCATGGTGAATAAGCTTTTTGATGTGCTGCTGGATTCCATTTGCCAGTATTTTATTGAGGCTTTGTGCATCAATTTTCATCAAGGATATTGGTCTAAAATTCTCTTTTTTTGTTGTGTCTCTGCCCGGCTTTGGTATCAGAATGATGCTGGCCTCATAAAAAGAGTTAGGGAGGATTCCGTCTTTTTCTATTGATTGGAATAGTTTCAGAAGGAATGGTACCAGTTCCTCCTTGTACCTCTGGTAGAATTCGGCTGTGAATCCATCTGGTCCTGGACTCTTTTTGGTTGGTAAGCTATTGATTATTGCCACAATTTCAGATCCTGTTATTGGTCTATTCAGAGATTCAACTTCTTCCTGGTTTAGTCTTGGGAGAGTGTATGTGTTGAGGAATTTATCCATTTCTTCTAGATTTTCTAGTTTATTTGCGTAGAGGTGTTTGTAGTATTTTCTGATGGTAGTTTGTATGTCTGTGGGATCGGTGGTGATATCCCCTTTATCATTTTTTATTGTGTCTATTTGTTTCTTATCTCTTTTTTTCTTTATTAGTCTTGCTAGCGGTCCATCAATTTTGTTGATCCTTTCAAAAAACCAGCTCCTGGATTCATTAATTTTTTGAAGGGTTTTTTATGTCTCTAATTCCTTCATTTCTGCTCTGATTTTAATTATTTCTTGCCTTCTGCTAGTTTTTGAATGTGTTTGCTCTTGCTTTTCTAGTTCTTTTAATTGTGATTTTAGGGTGTCAATTTTGGATCTTTCCTGCTTTCTCTTGTGGGCATTTAGTGATATAAATTTCCCTCTACACACTGCTTTGAATGCATCCCAGAGAATCTGGTATGTTTTGTCTTTGTTCTCGTTGGTTTCAAAGAACATCTTTATTTCTGCCTTCATTTCGTTATGTACCCAGTAGTCATTCAGGAGCAGGTTGTTCAGTTTCCATGTAATTGAGCAATTTTGAGTGGGATTCTTAATCCTGAGTTCTTGTTTGATTGCCCTGTTGTCTGAGAGATAGTTTGTTATAATTTCTGTTCTTTTACATTTGCTGAGGAGAGCTTTACTTCCAACTATGTGGTCAATTTTGGAATAGGTGTGGTGTGGTGTTGTAAGAAATGTATATTCTGTTGATTTGAGGTGGAGAGTTCTGTAGATGTCTATTAGGTCCGCTTGGTGCAGAGCTGAGTTCAATTCCTGGGTATCCTTGTTAACTTTCTGTCTCGTTGATCTCTCTAATGTTGACAGTGGGGTGTTAAAGTCTCCCATTATTAATGTGTGGGCGTCTAAGTCTCTTTGTAGGCCACTGAGGACTTGCTTTATGAGTCTGGGTACTCCTGTATTGAGTGCATATATATTTAGGATAGTTAGCTCTTCTTGTTGAATTGATCCCTTTACCATTATGTAATGGCCTTCTTTGTCTCTTTTGATCTTTGTTCATTTAAAGTCTATGTTATCGGCTCCTGCCTTTTTTTGTTTTCCATTTGCTTGGTAGATCTTCCTCCATCCTTTTATTTTGAGCCTATGTGTGTCTCTGCACATGAGATGGGTTTCCTGAATACAGCACACTGATGGGTCTTGACTATCCAATTTGCCAGTCTGTGTCTTTTAATTGCAGAATTTAGTCCATTTATATTTAAAGTTAATATTGTTATGTGTGAATTTGATCCTGTCATTATGATGTTAGCTGGTTATTTTGCTCGTTAGTTGATGCAGTTTTTTCCTAGTCTTGATGGTCTTTACATTTTGGCATGATTTTGCAGCGGCTGGTACCGGTTGTTCCTTTCCATGTTTAGCGCTTCCTTCAGGAGCTCTTTTAGGGCAGGCCTGGTGGTGACAAAATCTCTCAGCATTTGCTTGTCTGTAAAGTATTTTATTTCTCCTTCACTTATGAAGCTTAGTTTGGCTGGATATGAAATTCTGGGTTGAAAATTCTTTTCTTTGAGAATGTTGAATATTGGCCCCCACTGTCTTCTGGCTTGTAGGGTTTCTGCCGAGAGATCTGCTGTTAGTCTGATGGGCTTCCCTTTGAGGTTATCCCGACCTTTCTCTCTGGCTGCCCTTAACATTTTTTCCTTCATTTCAACTTTGGTGAATCTGACAATTATGTGTCTTGGAGTTGCTCTTCTCGAGGAGTATCTTTGTGGTGTTCTCTGTATTTCCTGAATCTGAATATTGGCCTGCCTTGCTAGATTGGGGAAGTTCTCCTGGATAATATCCTGCAGCGTGTTTTCCAACTTGGTTCCATTCTCCCGTCACTTTCAGGTACACCAATCAGATGTAGATTTCGTCTTTCCCATAGTCCCATATTTCTTGGAGGCTTTGCTCATTTCTTTTTATTCTTTTTTCTCTAAACTTCCCTTCTCGCTTCATTGCATTCATTTCATCTTCCACCGCTGTTACCCTTTCTTCCAGTTGATTGCATCAGCTCTTGAGGCTTCTGCATTCTTCATGTAGTTCTCGAGCCTTGGTTTTCAGCTCCATCAGCTCCTTTAAACACTTCTCTGTATTGGTTATTCTAGTTATACAGTCTTCTAAATTTTTTTCAAAGTTTTCAACTTCTTTGCCTTCGGTTTGAATGTCCTCCCAGAGCTCAGACTAATTTGATCATCTGAAGCCTTCTTCTCTCAGCTCCTCAAAGTCATTCTCCATCCAGCTTTTTTCCATTGCTGGTGAGGAACTGCGTTCCTTTGGAGGAGGAGAGGTGCTCTGCTTTTTAGAGTTTCCAGTTTTTCTGTTCTGTTTCTTCCCCATCTTTGTGTTTTTATCTACTTTTGGTCTTTGATGATGGTGATGTACAGATGGGTTTTTGGTGTGGATGTCCTGTCTGTTTGTTAGTTTTCCTTCTAACAGAGAGGACCCTCAGCTGCAGGTCTGTTGGAATACCCTGCTGTGTGAAATGTCAGTGTGCCCCTGCTGGGAGGTGCCTCCCAGTTAGGCTGCTTGGGGATCAGGGGTCAGGGACCTACTTGAGGAAGCAGTCTGCCCATTCTCCGATCTCCAGCTGCATGCTGGGAGAACCACTGCTCTCTTCAAATCTGTCAGACAGGGACATTTAAGTCTGCAGAGGTTACTGCTGTCTTTTTGTTTGCCTGTGCTCTGCCCCCAGAAGTGGAGCCTATAGAGGCAGGCAGGCCTCCTTGAGCTGTGGTAGGCTCCACCCAGTTCGAGCTTCCTGGCTGCTTTGTTTACCTAAGCAAGCCTGGGCAATGGCGGGTGCCCCTCTTCCAGCCTCGCTGCCACCTTGCAGTTTGATCTCAGACTGCTGTGCTAGCAATCAGCGAGACTTTGTGGGCGTAGGACCCTCCTAGCCAGGTGTGGGATATAATCTCCTTGTGCGCCGTTTTTTAAGTCCATCAGAAAAGCACAGTATTCGGGTGGGAGTGACCGGATTTTCCAGGTGCCGTCCGTCACCCCTTTCTTTGACTCGGAAAGGGAACTCCCTGACCACTTGCACTTCCCAAGTGAGGCAATGTCTCACCCTGCTTCACTTCACGCATGGTCCATGCACCCACTGAGCTGCACCCACTCTCTGGCACTCCCTAGTGAGATGAACCCGGTACCTCAGATGGAAATGCAGAAATCACCATCTTCTGCATTGCTCACACTGGGAGCTGTAGATCGGAGCTGTTCCTATTTGGCCATCTTGGCTCCTCCTTCCTTCTAGTTTTTATGTGAAGATATTTCCTTTTCCACTGTAGGCCACAAAGTGCACCAAATATCCACTTGCAGATTATATAAAAATAATGTTTCAAGACTGATCAGTCAAAAGAAGAAAGTTTGAACTCTTTGAATTCAATGCACACATCTCAAAGATGTTTCTTATAATGCTTCTGTGTAGTTTTTATGTGAAGATATTTCCTTTTCCACCATGGGTCTCGAAGAGCTCCAAATATCCAGTGGCAGATTCTACAAAGACTGATTCCAAACAGCTCAATCAAAGAAATTTTCAACTCTGTGAAATGAATGCACTCATCACAAAGAAATTTCTGAGAATGCTTCTGTGTAGTTTTTATGTGTAGATATTTCCTTTTCCAAAATAAGCCTCAAAGCGCTCCAAATATCCACTTGCAGATACTTTAAAAAGAGTGTTTTAAAAGTGCTCAATCAAAAGAAATGTTCAACTCTGTGAGTTGAATGCACACATCACAAAGAAGATTCTGAGAATGCTTCTATGTAGTTTACATGTGTAGATATTTCCTTTTCCAGAATAGGACTCTAAGTGCTCAAAATATCCACTTGTAGATTATACAAAAAGATTGTTTCAAAACTACTCAATCAAAAGAAAGGTTCAAGTCTCTGAGATTAATTCACACATCATAAAGAAGTCCTCAGAATGCTTCTTTGTAGTTGATATGTGGAGATATTTCCTTTTCCACAATGGGCTTCAAGGCTCTCCAAATATCCACTTGCAGATTCTACAAAAAGAGTGTTTGAAACTGCTGAATCAAAAGAAAGTTTCAACTGTGTGAGATGAATGCACTCATCACAAAGAAGTTTCTCAGAATGCTTCTGTGTAGTTTTTATGTGAACTTATTTCCTTTTCCAAAAAGGCAAGAAGGGCTCAAAATATCCACTTGCAGTTTCTACAAAAACAAAGTTTCAAAGCTGGTCAATTGAAAGATAGATTCACCTCTGTGGGTTGAATGTACACATCACAAAGAGTTTCTCAGAGTGCTTCTGTGTAGTTTTTATGTGAAGATATTTTATTTTCCACAGTAGCCATCAAAGTGTTTCAAGTTTCCACTTGCAGACACTTCAAAAAGAGTGTTTCAAAACTTCTCAATCAAAAGACAGGTTCAACGCTGCGAGATGAATGCACACAACACAGAGAAGTTTCTCAGAATGCTTCTGTTTAGTTTTTATGTGAAGATATTTCCTTTTCCACGATAGGCCTCAAAGCACTCCAGATATCCACTTCAAGACTCTACAAAAAGAGTGTATCCAAACTGCTCAATCAAAAGAAAGGTTCAACTCTGTGTCATGAATGCACACATCACAAAGAAGTTTCTCAGAACGCTTCTGGGTAGTTTTTCTGTGAAAAGATTTCCTTTTCCACAATAGGCCTCAAAGCGCTTCATTTTCCACTTGCAGATTCTGTAAAAAGAGTGTTCACAATCTGCTCAATCAAAATAAAGGTTCAACACTGTGAGATGAATGCACATATCACAGAGAAGTTTCTCAGAATGTTTCTCTGTAGTTTTTATGTAAAGATATTTCCTTTTCCAAAATAGGTAGCCAAGGGCTTCAAATATCCAATTGCAGATTCCACAAAAAAAGAGAGAATCAAAACTGCTATATCAAAAGAAAGGTTCAACTCTGTGAATGGTATGCAGACATCACCAAGAAGCTTCTCAACGTGCTTCTGTGTGGTTTTCACGTGAAGATATTTCCTTTTCCCCAAAGGCCTCAAAGCACTCCAATAAAACATTGCAGATTCTACAAACAGAGTGTTTGTAAACTGCTTAATCAAAAGAAAGGTTCAATTCTGTGAGTTGAATGCACACATCACAAAGAAGTTGCTCGGAATGTTTCTGTGTAGTTTTTATGTGAAGAGATTTCCTTTTCCACCATAGGCCACAAAGCGCTCCAATTATCCACTTGCAGATACTACAAAAAGAATGTTTCCAACTGTTCAAATAAAAGAAAGTTTCAACTTTGTAAGATGATTGCACACATCACAAAGTAGTTTCTCAGAATGCTTCTGTGTAGTTTTCATGTGAAGATATTTCCTTTTCCATGATAGGCCTCAAAGCACTCAAAATATCCACTTGGAGATTCTGAAAAAAGAGTGTTTCCAAACTGCTCTGTCAAAAGAAAGGTTCAACTCTGTGAGATGAATGCACACAACACAAAGAAGTTCCTCACAAAGCTTCTGTGCAGTTTTTATGTGAAGAGATTTTGTTTTCCACAATAGGTCTCAAAGTGCTCCAAATACCCACTTGCCGATTCTACAAGAAGGGTGTTTCAAAAATGCTCAATCAAATAAATTTTCAACTCTGTGAGAAGAATGCACACATCTCAGAGAAGTTTCTCACAATGCTTCTGTGTAGTTTTTATGTGAAGATATTTGCTCTTCCACCATAGGCCGCAAATGGCTCCAAATATCCACTTGCGGAGCCTAGAAAAAGAGAGGTTCAAAACTGCTCTATCAAAAGATAGGTTCACCTCTCTGAGTTGAATGCACACATCACAAAGAAGTTTCTCAGAATGCTTCTGTGTCGTTTTTATGTGAAGATATTTCCTTTTCCACCACAGTCCTCAAAACTCTCCATATTTTCAGTTGCACATTCTACAAAAAGAGTGATTCCAAACTGCTCAATCAAAAGATAGGTTCAGCACTGTGAGATGAATGCAAACATCATGAAGAACTTTCTCAAAATGCTTCTGTGTAGTTTTTATGTGAAGATATTTCCTTTCCACAGTAGGCATCAAAACGCTCCAAATATTCACTTGCAGATACTACAAAAAGAGTCTTTCAAAACTGCTCAATCAAAAGAAAGTTTCAACTCTGTAAGATGAATGCACTCATCACAAAGAAGTTTCTCAGAATGCTTCTGTGTAGTTTTTATGTGAACTTATTTCCTTTTCCAAAAAGGCAAGAAGGGCTCAAAATATCCACTTGCAGATTCTACAAAAACAGAGATTCAAAACTTGTCAATCAAAAGATAGATTCACCTCTGTGAATTGAATGCACACATCACAAAGAGTTTCTCAGAATGCGTCTGTGTAGTTTTTATGTGAAGATATTTCCTTTTCCACAATAGGCATCAAAGCGCTTCAAGTTTCCAATTGCAGATTCTTCAAAAAGAGTTTTTCAAAACTACTGAATCAAAAGACAGGTTCAACGCTGTGAGATGAATGCACACATCACAGAGAAGTTTCTCAGAATGCTTTGTGTAGTTTTTATGTGAAGATATATACTTTTCCACCATATGAATCAAAGCGCTCCCAATATCGACTTGCAGACTCTACAAAAAGAGTGTTTCCAAACTACTCAATCAAAAGAAAGGTTCAACTCTGTGTCATGAATGCACACATCACAAAGAAGTTTCTCAGAACGCTTCTGGGTACTTTTTCTGTGAAAATATTTTCTCTTCCACAATAGTCCTCAAAGTGCTTCAAGTTTCCACTTGCATATTCTTTAAAAAGAGTGTTCGAAATCTGCTCAATCAAAATAAAGGTTCAACACTGTGAGATGAATGCACCCATCACAAAGAAGTCTCTCAGAATGTTTCTATGTAGTTTTTAGGTGAAGATATTTCCTTTTCCAAAATAAGCAGCAAGGGAATCAAAATATGCACTTACAGATTCCGCAAAAATAGACATTCAAAGCTGCTCAATCCAAAGATAGGTTCAACTCTGTGTGTGGAATGCACACATCACAAAGAAGTTTCTCAGAATGCTTCTCTGTAGTTTTTATGTGAGCATATTTCCTTTTCCAAAATAGATAGACAAGGGCTGCAAATATCCAATTGCAGATTCCACAAAAAGAGAGAATCAATACTGCTCAATCAAAAGAAAGGTTCAACTCTGTGAGTGGAATGCACACATCACAAAGAAGTTTCTCAGAATGCTTCTGTGTGGTTTTCATGTGAAGTTATTTCCTTTTCCCCAATAGGCCTCAAAGCACTCGAAAAATACATTGCAAATTTTACAAAAAGAGTGTTTGCAAACAGCTCAATCAAAAGAAAGTTTCAACTCTGTGAGTTGAATTCACACATCACAAAGAAGTTGCTCAGAATACTTCAGTGTAGTTTTCATATGAATAGATTTCCTTTTCCACCATAGGCCACAAAGCACTCCAAGTATCCACTTGCAGATACTACAAAAATAGTGTGTCCAACTGCTCAAATAAAAGGAAGGTTCAACTTTGTGAGATGAATGCACACATCGCAAAGTAGTTTCTCAGAATGCTTCTGTCTAGTTTTTATGTGAAGATATTTCCATTTCCATGATAGGCCTCAAAGCACTCCAGATATCCACTTGCAGACTCTACAAAAAGAGTGTTTCTAAACTACTCAATCAAAAGAAAGGTTCAACTCTGTGACATGAATGCTCACATCACAAAGAAGTTTCTCAGAGTGCTTCTGGGTAGTTTTTCTGTGAAAAGATTTCCTTTTCCACAATAGGCCTCAAAGCACTTCATTTTCCACTTGCAGATTCTATAAAAAGAGTGCTCACAATCTGCTCAATCAAAATAAAGGTTCAACACTGTGAGATGAATGCACACATCACAAAGCAGTTTCTCAGAATGCTTCTGTGTAGTTTTTAGGTGAAGATATTTCCTTTTCCAAAATAAGCAGCAAAGGAATCAAAACATGCACTTGCAGATTCCGCAAAAATAGACATTCAAAGCTGCTCAATCCAAAGATAGGTTCAACTCTGTGTGTGGAATGCACACATCACAAAGAAGTTTCTCAGAATGCTTCTCTGTAGTTTTTATGTGAAAATATTTCCTTTTCCAAAATAGACAAGGGCTCCAAATATCCAATTGCAGATTCCACAAAAAGAGAGAATCAATACTGCTCAATCAAAAGAAAGGTTCAACTCTGTGAGTGGAATGCACACATCACAAAGAAGTTTCTCAGAATGCTTCTGTGTGGTTTTCATGTGAAGTTATTTCCTTTTCCCCAATAGGCCTCAAAGCACTCCAAAAATACAATGCAGATTTTACAAAAAGAGTGTTTGCAAACTGCTCAATCAAAAGAAAGTTTCAACTCTGTGAGATGAATTCACACATCACAAAGAAGTAGCTCAGAATACTTCAGTGTAGTTTTCATATGAATAGATTTCCTTTTCCACCATAGGCCACAAAGCACTCCAAGTATCCACTTGCAGATACTACAAAAAGAGTGTTTCCAACTGCTCAAATAAAAGGAAGGTTCAACTTTGTGAGATGAATGCACACATCACAAAGTAGTTTCTCAGAATGCTTCTGTGTAGTTTTTATGTGAAGGTATTTCCTTTTCCACGATAAACCTCAAAGCACTCCAGATATCTTCTTGGAGATTCTAAGAAAACAATGTTTCCAAACTGCTCTATCAAAAGAAATGTTCAGCTCTGTGAGATGAATGCACACAATACAAATAAGTTTCTCAGAAAGCTTCTGTGTAGTTTTTCTGTGAAGATAGTTTGTTTTCCACAATAGGTCTCAAAGTTCTCCAAATAGCAGCCTGCTGATTCTACAAAAAGGGTTTTTCAAAAATGCTCAATCAATGAAAGTTTCAACTCTGTGAGAAGAATGCACACATCTCAGAGAATTTTCTCACAATGCTTCTGTGTAGTTTTTACGTGAAGATATTTGCTTTTCCACCTTAGGCAGCAAATGGCTCCAAATATCCAATTGCAGATTCTACAAAAAGAGAGTTTCAAAGCTGCTCTATCAAAAGATATGTTCACATCTGTGAGTTGAATGCACACACACAAAGAAGTTTCTCAGAGTTCTTCTGTGTCGTTTTTATGTGAAGATATTTCCTTTTCCACCACAGGCCTCAAAGCTCTCCACATTTCCACTTGCACATTCTACAAAAAGAGAGTTTCAAAACTGCTCTATCAAAAGATAGGTTCAAGTCTGTGAGATGAATGCAAACATCACAAAGAACTTTCTCAAAATGCTTCTTTGTAGTTTTTATGTGAAGATATTTCCTTTTCCACAATAGGCCTCAAAGCGCTCCAAATATTCACTTGCAGATACTACAAATAGAGTGTTTCAAAACTGCTCAATCAAAATAAAGTTTCAACACTGTGAGATGAATGCACACATCAGAAAGAAGTTTCTGAGAATGCTTCTGTGTAGTTTTTATGTTAACTTATTTCCTTTTACAAAATAGGCAGGAAAGGGCTCCAAATATCCAGTTGCAGATTCTACAGAAACAGAAATTCATAACCGATCAATCAAAAGATACATTCAACTATGTGAGTTGAATGCACACATCACAAAGGAGTTTCTAAGAATGCTTCTGTGTAGTTTTTTTGTGAAGATGTTTCCTTTTCCAAAATAGGCCTCAAAGCGCTCCAAATATTCACTTGCAGATACTATAAATAGAGTGTTTCAAAACTGCTCAATCAAAATATGTTCAAGTCTGTGAGTTGAAGGCACACATCACAGAGAAGTTTCTCAGAATGCTTCTGTGCAGTTTTTAAATGAAGATATTTCCTTTTCCACCTGATACCTCAAAGTGCTCCAAATATCCACTTGCAGATTCTACAAAAACAGTGTTCCAAACTGAATCAAAAGAAAGGTTCAACTCTGTGACATGAATGCACTCATCACAACAAAGTTTCTCAGAATGGTTCTGTGTACTTTTCCTGTGAAGATATTTCTTTTTCCACAATAGGCCTCAATACGCTGCAATTATCCACATGCAGATTCTATAAAAAGTGTGTTTCAAATCCGCAAAATCAGAATAAAAGTTCAAAAGTGTGAGATAAATGCACACATCAGAAAGAAGTTTCTCAGAATGCTTCTGTGTATTTTTTTTGTGAAGATATTTCATTTTCCAAAATTTGGAGCAGCAAAGTGCTCCAAATATCCACAAAAAGAGAGATTCAAAACTGCTCAATCTAAAGATAGGTTCAAATCTGTGAGTGGAATGCAGACATCACAAATAAGTTTCTCAGAACTCTTCTGTCTAGTTTTTATGGGAAGATATTTCCTTTTCCACCATAGGCCTCAATGCGCTCCAAATATCCAGTTGCAGATTCTACAAAAAGACTGTTTCCAAACTGTGCAATCAAAAGAAAGGGTCAACTCTGGGAGATGAATGCACACGTCACAAAGAAGTTTCTTAGAATGCTTCTGTGTAGTTTTTATGTGAACTTATTTCCTATTCCAAAATAGACCGCAATGGGCTCTAAATATGTACATACAGATTCTACAAAAAGAGAGATTCAAAACTGCTCAGTCAAAAGAAAGATTCAGCTCTGTGAGTTGAATGCACACAGCACAAAGAAGTTTCTCAGAATGCTTCTGTTTAGTTTTTATGTGAAGATATTTCCTTTTCAACCATGAGCCCCAAAGCACTCTTAATATCCACTTGGAGATTCTACAAAAGACTGTTTCCAAACTGTTCAGTCAAAAGAAAGACTCAACCCTGTGAGATGAATGCACACAAAACAAAAAAGTTTCTCAGAATGTTTCCATTTAGGATTTTTGTGAAGATATTTCCTTTTCCACAATATGTCCCAAAGTAGTCCAAATATCCACCTGTCGATTATACAAAAAGAGTGTTTCAAAACTGCTCAATCAAAAGAAAATTTCAACTCTGTGAGATCAATGCACACATCATGAAGAAGTTTCTCAGAATCCTTCTGTGTTGTTTTTATGTGAAGATATTTCCTTTTCCATAATAGGACTCAAAGCGCTCCAAATATCCACTTGCAGATCCTATAAAAAGAGTGCTTCAAAACTGCTCTATCAAAAGAAAGTTTTGATTCTGTGGGATGAATGCACACATCACAAAGAAGTTTCTCAGAATGCTTCTGTGTAGTTTTTCTGTGAACTTATTTCCTTTTCCATGATAGGCCTCAAAGCACTCCAAATATCGACTTGGAGATTCTAAAAAAAGAGTGTTTCCAAACTGCTCTATCAAAAGAAAGGTTCAACACTGTGACATGAATGCACACTGAACAAAGGAGTTTCTCAGAAAGCTTCTGTGTAGTTTTTCTGTGTAGATATTTCGTTTTCCACAATATGTCTCAGAGTGCTCCAAATATCCACCTGCCGATTCTACAAAAAGTGTGTTTCAAAAATGCTCAATCCAAAGAAAGTTTCAACTCTGTGAGAAGAATGCACACATCTCAGAGAAGTTTCTCAGAATGCTTCTGTGTAGTTTTTCTGTGAACTTATTTCCTTTTCCATGATAGGCCTCAAAGCGCTCCAAATATCCACTTGGAGATTCTAAAAAAAGAGTGTTTCCAAACTGCTCTATCAAAAGAAAGGTTCAACACTGTGACATGAATGCACACTGAACAAAGGAGTTTCTCAGAAAGCTTCTGTGTAGTTTTTCTGTGTAGATATTTCGTTTTCCACAATATGTCTCAAAGTCCTCCAAATATCCACCTGCCAAGTCTACAAAAAGCGTGTTTCAAAAATGCTCAAACCAAAGAAAGTTTCAACTCTGTGAGAAGAATGCACACATCTCAGAGAAGTTTCTCAGAATGCTTCTGTGTAGCTTTTATGTGAAGATATTTCCGTTTCCAAAATAGGCTGAAAGGTCTATAAATATCCACTTGCAGATTCTACAAGAAGAGATTCAAAACCACTCAATCAAAAGAAAGGATCAACTCTGTGAGGTGAATGCACACATCACAAAGAACTTTCTCAGAATGCATCAGTGTAGTTTTTCTGTAAAGATATTTCCTTTTCCACAGTAGGCCTCAAAGTGCTTCAATTATCCACTTGTAGATACTATAAAAAGAGTGTTTCAAATCTGCTCAATCAAAATAAAAGTTCAACACTGTGAGATGAATGCACACATCAGAAAGAAGTTTCTCAGAATGCTTCTGTGTAGTTTTTAGGTGAAGATATTACCTTTTCCAAAATAGGCAGCAAAGGAATCAAAATATCCACTTGCAGATATTCTAAAAATAGACATTCAAAGCTGCTCAATCCAAAGATAGGTTCAACTCTGTGAGAGGAATGCACACATCACAAAGAAGTTTCTCAGAATGTTTCTCTGTAGTTTTTATGTGAAGATATTTCCTTTCCCACCACAGGCCCTAAAGCACTCCAAATATCCACTTAGAGATTCCACAAAAAAAGTGTTTCAAAACTGCTCAATCAAAAGAAAGGTTCAACAAAGTGAGATGAATGGACACATCACAAAGAAGTTTCTTAGAATGCTTCCCTGTAGTACTTACGTGAAGATATTTCCTTTTCTACAGTATGCCTCAAAGTGCTTGAAATATCCACTTGTAGGTGCTACAAAAAGAGTGTATCCAAACTGTTCAACCAAAAGAAAGGTTCAACTCCGTTATATGAATGGACACATCACAAAGAAGTTTCTGAGAATGATTCTGTGTAGTTTTAATGTGAAGATATTTCATTTTCCACCATAAGCCTCAAAGTGCAGAAATTATCCACTTGCAGATACCTCAAAAACTGTGTTTCAAAGCTGCTCAATCAAAAGAAAGTTTCAACTATGTGAGATGAATGCACACATCATAAAGGAGTTTCTGAGAATTGTTCTGTGTAGTTTTTATGTGAAGATATTTCCTTTTCCACATTAGGCCAAAAAGTGCTCCAAATATCCACTTGCAGATTCCATTAAAAGAGTGTTTCATAACTGCTCAATCAAAAGAAATGTTCAAGTCTGTGAGATGAAGGCAAACATCACAAATAAGTTTCTCAGAATGCTTCTGTGTAGTTTTTATGTGAACATATTTCCTTTTCCACCATAGGCACCAAAGCGTTCCAAATATCCACTTTCAGATTCTACAAAAAGAGTGTTTCCAAACTGCTCAATGAAAAAAACAGATTCACATCTATGAGGTGAATGCACACATCACCAAGAAATTTCTCAGAAAGCTTCTGTGTAGTTTTCGTGTGAAGATATTTCGTTTTCCACCATATTCCGCTAAGGGCTCCAAATATCCATTTGCAGATTCAACAAAAAGAGTGTTTCAAAACTGCTCAATCAAAAGATAGGTTCAACTATGTGATATGAATGCACATATCACGAAGAAGTTTCTCAGAATGCTTCTGTCTAGTTTTAATGTGAAGATATTTCTCTTTCCAAAATAGGCCTCAAAGCACTCCAAATATCCACTTGCATATTCTAGAAAAAGAGTGTTTCAAAACTGCTCTAACAAAAGAAAGGTTCAACTCTGTGAGATGAATGCACTCATCACAAAGAAGTTTCTGAGAATGTTTCTGTCCAGTTTTTATGTGAATATAATCCCGTTTCCAATGAAGGCCTCTAAGCAGTCCAAATGTCCACTTGCAGATATAAAGAAAAGAGTGTTTCAAAACTACTCTAAGAAAAGTTGTGTTCAACTCTGTGTACTGAATGCAAACATCACAAAGATGTTTCTGAGAATGCTTCTGTCTAGTTTTTATGTGAAGATATTTCCTTTTCCACCATAGGCCTCCAAGCTCTCCAAATGTCCACTTGCAGATACTAGAAAAAGAGTGTTTCAAAACTGCTCTATCAAAAGAAAGGTTCAACTCTGTGAGTTGAATGCACTCATCACAAAGAAGTTTTTGAGAATGATTTTGTCTACTTTTTAGGTGAAGATATTCCCCTTTCCTACGAAGGCCTCAATGCAGTCCCAATATCCACTTGCAGATTCTACGAAAAGAGTGTTTCAAAACTGCTCTATGAAAAGGTATGTTCAACACTGTGTGTTGAATGCAAACATCTCAAAGAAGTTTCTGAGAATGCTTCTGTCTAGTTTTTATGTGTAGATATTTCGTTTTCCACAATAGGCCTCAAAGCTCTCCAAATGTCCACTTGCAGATAATACATAAAGAGTGTTTCAAAACTGCTCTATCAAAAGAAAGGTTCAACTCTGTGAGTTGAATGCACACATCACAGAGACGTTTCTGAGAATGCTTCTGTCTAGTTTTTATGTGAATATATTCCCGTTTCCAAAGAAGGCCTCTAAGCAGTCCAAATATCCATTTGTAGATATAAACAAAAGAGTGTTTCAAAACTGCTGTATGAAAAGGTATGTTCAACTCTGTGTGTTGAATGCAAACATCACAAAGAAGTTTCTGAAAATTGTTCTGTCTAGTTTCTACTTGAAGATATTACCTTTGCCACCATAGGACTCAAATCTCTCCAAATGTCCGCTTGCAGATTCAACGAATAGAGTGTTTCAAAACTGCTCTATCAAAAGAAAGGTTTAACTCTGTGAGTTGAAGGCACGCATCCCAAAGAAGTTTCTGAGAATGCTTCTATCTAGTTTTTATGTCAAGATATTTCCTTTTCCACCTTAGGCCTCAGAGCTCTCCAAATGTCCACTTGCAGATTCTACAAAAAGAGTGTTTCAAAACTGCTCTATCAAAAGAAAGGTTCAACCCTGTGAGTTGAATGAACACATCACAAAGAAGTTTCTGTGAATGATTCTGTATAATTTTTATGTGACGATATTCCCGTTTCCAATGGAGGCCTCAAAGCAGTAAAAATATTCACTTGCAGATTCTACGAAAAGAGTGTTTCAAAACTGCTCTATGGAAAGTTACGTTCAACTCTGTGATTTGACTGCAAACAAGACAAAGAAGTTTCTGAGACTGCTTCTGTCTAGTTTTTGTGTGAAGATATACCCGTTTCCAATGAACACCTCAAAGAAGTTCAAATATACACTTGCAGATTCTACGAAAAGAGTGTTTCAAAACTGCTCTATGAAAAGGTATCTTCAACTCCGTGAGTTGAAAGCAAATATCACAATGAAGTTTCTGAGAAGGATTCTGTCTACTGTTTGTGTGTAGGTATTTCTTTTTCCACCATTGGCCTCAAAACTCTCCAAATGTCCACTTGCAGAGAGTACAAAAAGAGTGTTTCAAAACTACTCTATGAAAAGAAAGGTTCAAATCTGTGAGTTGAATGCACACAGCACAAAGAAGTTTCTGAGAATGCTTATATCTAGTTTTTGTGTGAAGATATTCCCGTTTCCAATGAAAGTCTCAAAGCAGTCCAAATATCCCATTGCACATTCTACGAAAGGGTATTTCAAAAGAGCTCTATGAAAAGGTATCTTCAAATCTGTGAGTTGAATGCACACATCACAAAGAAGTTTCTGATAATGATTCTGTCTAATTTTTATTTGAAGATATTTCCTTTTCCACCGTATGCCTCAAAGATCTACCAATGTCCCCTTGCAGATTCCAAAAATAGTGTTTCAAAACTGCTCTATCAAAAGAAAGGTACAAATCAGTGAATTGAATGCACACTTCACAAAGAAGTTTCTGAGAATGTTTCTGTCTAGTTTTTATGTGAAGATAATCCAGTTTCCAACGAAGGCCTCAAAGCAGTCCAAATGTTCACTTGCAGATTCTACGAAAACAGTGTTTCAAGACTGCTCTATGAAAACCTATCTTCAACTCTGTGAGTTGAATGCAAACAACACAAAGAAGTTTCTGAGAAGGCTACTGTCTAGTTTTTATGTGTAGATATTTCTTTTTCCACCATTCGCCTCAAAACTCTCCAAATGTCCACATGCAGATTGTCAAAAAGGGTGTTTCAAAACTGCTCTATCAAAAGAAAGATTCAAATCTGTGAGCTGAATGAACACATTACAAAGAAGTTCCTGAGAATGCTTCTGTCTACTTTTTATGTGAAGATATTCCCGTTTCCAACAAAGCCACAAAGCAGTCCAAATGTCCACTTGCAGATTTTACGAAAAGAGTGTTTCAAAACTGCTCTATGGAAAGGTATCTTCAACTCTGTGAGGTGAATGCAAACATCACAAAGAAGTTTCTGAGAATGCTTCTGTCTAGTTTTTATGTGAAGATATACCCGTTTCCAGTGAAGGCCTCAAAGCAGTCCAAATATCCACTTAAGATTCTATGAAAAGAGAGCTTCGAACGGCTCTTTGAAAATGTATCTTCAACTCTGTGAGTTGAATGCACACATCACAAAGAAGTTTCTGAGAATGCTTCTGTCTAATTTTTATGTGTAGATATTTACTTTTCCACCATAGGCCTCAAGGCTCTCCAAATGTCCACTTGCAGATTCTACAAAAAGAGTGTTTCAAAAGTCCTCTATCAAAAGAAAGGTTCAACTCTGTGAGTTGAATGCACACACCACAAAGAAGTTTCTGAGAATGCTTCTGTCTAGTTTTTATGTGAAGATATTCCGGTTTCCAACGATGTCCTCAAAGCAGTCCACATATCCACTTGCAGATTCTATAAAAAGAGTGTTTCAAAACTGCTCTATGAAAAGTATCTTCAGCTCTGTGAGTTGAATGCAAATATCATAAAGAATTTTCTGAGAATGCTTCTGTCTAGTTTTATGTGTACATATTTCCTTTTCCACCATAGGCCTCAAAGCTCTCCAAATTCCCACTTGCAGATTCTACAAAAGAGTGTTTCAGAACTGTTCTATAAAAGAAAGGTTCAAGTCTGTGAGTTGAATGCACACATCACAAAGCAGTTTCCTTTTTTTTAATTTATTCTTTATTAGTATACTTTAAGTTTTAGGGTACATGTGCACATTGTGCAGGTTAGTTACATATGTATACATTTGCCATGCTGGTGCGCTGCACCCACTAACTCGTCATCCAGCATTAGGTGCATCTCCCAGTGCTATCCCTCCCCCCTACCCCCAACCCAAAACAGTTCCCAGAGTGTGATATTCCCTTTCCTGTAAGTTTCTGAGAATGCTTCCACATAGTTTTTATGTGAAGATATTCCCATTCAACGAAGGCCTCAAAGCAGTCCAAATATCCACTTGTACAGTCTGAGAAAAGAAGGTTTCAAAACTGCTCTATGAAAAGATATGTTCAACTCTCTGAGTTGAATGAAAACATCACAAAGAAGTTCCTGAGAATGTTCTGTCTAATTTTTATGTGTGGATATTTCCTTTTCCACCATAGGGCTCAAAGCACTCCAAATGTCCACTTGCAGATTCTACAAAAAGAGTGCTTCAAAACTGCTCTATCAAAAGAGAGGTTCCACACTGTGGGTTGAACGCACACATCACAAAGAAGTTTCTGAGAATTCTTCTGAATAGATTTTATGTGAAGATATTCCCATTTCCAACGAAGGCCTCAAAGCTGTCCAAAACATCCACTTGCAGATACTATGAAAAGAGAGTTTCAAAACTGCTCTATGAAAAGGTATCCTCAACTCTGTGTGGTGAATGCTAGCATCCAAAGAAGTTTCTGAGAATGCTTCTGTCTAGTTTTTATGTGTAGATATTTCCTTTTCCACCATAGGCCTCAAAGCTGACCAAAGGTCCACTTGAAGATTCTACAAAAGTGTGTTTCAAAACTGCTCTATCAAAAGAAAGGTTCAACTCTGTGAGTTGAATGCACACATCACAAAGAAGATTCTGAGAAGTCTTCTGTCTAGTGTTTATGTGTAGGTATTCCAGTTTCAAACGAAGGTCTCAAAGCAGTCCAAATATCCACTTGCAGATTCTATGAAAAGAGTTTTTCAAAACTGCTCTATGAAAAGCTATGTTCAACTCTGTGAATTGAATGCAAACATCAAAAAGAAGTTTCTGAGAATGCTTCTGTCTAGTTTTTATGTGAAAATATTTCCTTTTGCAAAGTCGGCCTGAAGGGTCTCCAAATGTCCACTTGCAGATTCTAAAAATAATGTTTCACAACTGCTCTATCAATAGAAAGGTACAAATCTGTGAATTGAATGCACACATCAGAAAGAAGTTTCTGACAATGCTTCTGGCTAGTTTTTCTGTGAAGATATACCCGTTTCCATTGAAGGCCTCAAAGCAGTCCAAATATCCACTTGCATATGCTATGAAAAGAGTGTTTCAAAACTGCTCTTTAAAAAGGTATCTTCAACTCTGTGAGTTGAATGCAAACATCACAAAAAGAAGTTTATGAGAATGCTTCTGTCTGTCTAGTTTTTATGTGTAGATATTTCCTTTTCCACCCTAGGCCTCAAAGCTCTCCAAATATCCACTTTCAGATTCTACAAAAAGAGTGTTTCAAAACTGCTCTATCAAAAGAAAGGATCAAATCTGTGAGTTGAATGCACACATCACAAAGAAGTTTCTGAGAATTCTTCTGAATAGATTTTATGTGAAGATATTCTCATTTCCAACGAGGGCCTCAAAGCAGTCCAAACATCCACTTGCAGATACTTTGAAAAGAGTGTTCCAAAACTCCTCTATGAAAAGGTATCTTCAACTCTGTGAGGTGAATGCTAGCATCACAAAGAAGTTTCTGAGAATGCTTCTGTCTAGTTTTTATGTGTAGATATTTCCTTTTCCACCATAGGCCTCAAAGCTATCCGAAGGTCCACTTAAAGATTCTACAAAAAGTGTGTTTCAAAACTGGTCTATCGAAAGGTTCAACTCTGTGAGTTGAATGTACACATCACAAATAAGTTTCTGAGAAGACTTCTGTCCAGTGTTTATGTGTAGGTATTCCAGTTTCAAACGAAGGTCTCAAAGCAGTCCAAATATTCACTTGCAGATTCTACGAAAAGAGTGTTTCAAAACTGCTCTATGAGAAGATATCTTCAACTCTGTGAGTTGAATGCAAACATCACAAAGAAGTTTCTGAGAAGGATTCTGTCTAGCGTTTATGTGTAGGTATTTCTTTTTCCACCATTGTCCTCAAAACTCTCCAAATGTCCACTTGCAGATACTACAAAAAGAGTGTTTCAAAACTGCTCTATGAAAAGAAAGGTTCAAATCTGTGAGTGCAATGCTCACATCACAAAGAAGTTTCTGAGAATGTTTCTGTATAGTTCTTATGTAAAGATAATCCCGTTTCCAATGAAGGCCTCAAAGCAGTCCAAATATCCAATTGCACATTCCACGAAAAGAGTGTTTCAAAACAGCTCTATGAAAAGGTATCTTCAAATCAGTCAGTTGAATGCACACATCACAAAGATGTTTCTGAGAATGATTCTGTCTAGTTTTTATGTGAAGATATTTCCTTTTCCATTGTAGGCCTCAAAGCTCTCCCAATGTCCCCTTGCAGATTCTAAAAATAGTGTTTCAAAACTGCTGTATCAAAAGAAAGGTATATATCAGTGAAATGAATGCACACTTCACAAAGAACTTTCTGAGAATGCTTCTGTCTAGTTTTTATGTGAAGATATTCCAGTTTCCAACGAAGGCCTCAAAGCAGTCCAAATATTCACTTGCAGATTCTACGAAAAGAGTGTTTCAAGACTGCTCTATGAAAAGGTATCTTCAACTCTGTGAGTTGAATGCAAACAACACAAAGAAGTTTCTGAGCATGCCTCTGTCTAGTTTTTATGTGTAGATATTTCTTTTTCCACTATTTGGCTCAAAACACTCCAAATGTCCACTTGCAGATTGTACAAAAAGGGTGTTTCAATACTGCTCTATCAAAAGAAAGATTCAAATCTGTGAGTTGAATGCACACATTACAAAGACGTTTCTGAGAATGCTTCTGTCTACTTTTTAAGTGAAGATATTCCCGTTTCCAACAAGGCCACAAAGCAGTCCAAATATCCACTTGCAGATTTTACGAAAAGAGTGTTTCAAAACTGCTCTATGAAAAGAAATCATCAACTCTGTGAGATGAATGCAAACATAACAAAAAAGTTTCTGAGAATGCATCTGTCTAGTTTTTATGTGAAGATATACCCGTTTCCAGTGAAGGCCTCAAAGCAGTCCAAATATCCACTTGCAGATATTGCGAAAAGAGAGTTTCAAAACTGCTCTTTGAAAAGGTATCTTCAACTCTGTGAGTCGAATGCACACATCACAAAGAAGTGTCTGAGAATGCTTCTGTCTAATTTTTATGTGTAGATATTTCATTTTCCACCATAGGCCTCAGGGCTCTCCAAATGTCCACTTGCAGATTCTACAAAAGTGTGTTTCAAAAGTCCTCTATGAAAAGAAAGGTTCAACTCTGTGAGTTGAATGCACACATCACAAAGAAGTTTCTGAGAATGCTGCTGTCTGGTTTTTATGTGAACATATTCCGGTTTCCAACGAAGGCCTCCAAGCAGTCCACATATCCACTTACAGATTCTATGAAATGAGTGTTTCAAAACTGCTCTATGAAAAGGTATCTTCAGCTCTTTGAGTTGAATGCAAACATCACAAAGAAGTTTCTGAGAATGCTTCTGTCTAGTTTTTACGTGTATATATTTCCTTTTCTACTGTAGGCCTCAAAGCTCTCCAAATGTCCACTTGATGATCCACAAAAAGAGTGTTTCAAAACAGCTCTATCAAAAGAAAGGTTCAACTCCGTGAGTTGAATAAACACATCACAAAGAAGTTTCTGAGAATGCTTTCGTCTAGTTTTTATGTGAAAATCTTCCCGTTTCCAATGAAAGCCTCAAAGCAGTCCAAATATCCACTTGCAGATTGTAAGAAAAGAGTGTTTCAAAACTGCTCTATGAAAAGGGTTGGTCAACTCTGTGAGTTGAATGCAAACATCACAAAGAAGTTTCTTAGAATGCTTCTGTCTGGTTTTAATGTGAAGATATTTCCTTTTCCACCATAGGCCTCAAAGCTTTCCAAATGTCCGCATGCAGATTCTATAAAAAGAGTGTTGAAAAACTGCTCTATCAAAAGAGAAGTACAAGTCTGTGAGTTGTGTGCACATATCACAAAGAAGTTTCTGAGGATGCTTCTTTCTAGTTTTTATGTGAAGATATACCCTTTTCCAAAGAAGGCCTCAAAGCAGTCCAAATATCATCTTGCTGATACTACGACAAGAGTGTTTCAAAACTGCTCTATGAAAAGGTACTTTCCACTCTGTAAGTTGAATGCAAACATCATAAAGATGTTTCTGGGAATGCTTCTGTCTAGTTTTTATGTGAAAATTTTTCCTTTTCCACCATAGGCCACAAAGCTCTGCAAATGTCCACTTGCAGATTCTACAAAAAGAGTGTTTCAAAACTGCTCTATCAAAAGAAAGGTTCAAACATGTGAGTTGAATGCACACAACACAAAGAAGTTTCTGAGAACTCTTCTGTCTAGTTTTTATGTGAAGATATTCCCGTTTCCAACGAAGGCCTAAAAGCAGTCCAAATATCCACTTGCGGATTCTACGAAAAGAGTTTTTCAAAACTGCTCTATGAAAAGGTAACTTCAACTCTGTGAGTTGAATGCTAACATCACAAAGAAGTTTCTGAGAATGCTTCTGTCTAGTTTTTATGTGAAGATATACCCTTTTCCAAAGAAGGCCTCAAAGCAGTCCAAATATCATCTTGCTGATACTACGACAAGAGTGTTTCAAAACTGCTCTATGAAAAGGTACTTTCCACTCTGTAAGTTGAATGCAAACATCATAAAGATGTTTCTGGGAATGCTTCTGTCTAGTTTTTATGTGAAAATTTTTCCTTTTCCACCATAGGCCACAAAGCTCTGCAAATGTCCACTTGCAGATTCTACAAAAAGAGTGTTTCAAAACTGCTCTATCAAAAGAAAGGTTCAAACATGTGAGTTGAATGCACACAACACAAAGAAGTTTCTGAGAACTCTTCTGTCTAGTTTTTATGTGAAGATATTCCCGTTTCCAACGAAGGCCTAAAAGCAGTCCAAATATCCACTTGCGGATTCTACGAAAAGAGTTTTTCAAAACTGCTCTATGAAAAGGTAACTTCAACTCTGTGAGTTGAATGCTAACATCACAAAGAAGTTTCTGAGAATGCTTCTGTCTAGTTTTTATGTGAAGATATTTCCTTCTCCACCATAGGCCTCAAAGATATCCAAATATCCACTTGCAGATTCTACAAAAAGAGTGTTTCAAAACTGCTCTATCAAAAGAAACGTTCAACTCTGTGAAGTGAATGCACACATCACAAAGAAGCTTCTGTGAATGCTTCTGTCTAGTTTTTATGTGAAGATTTTCCCGTTTCCAACGAAGGCCACAAAACAGTCCAAATATGCACTTGCAGATTCAAGGAAAAGAGTGTTTCAAATCTGCTCTCTTAAAAAGTAGGTTCAACTCTGTGAGTTGATTGCAAACATCACAAAGAAGTTTCTCAGAATGCTTCTGTCTGTTTTTTGTGTGAAGATATTTCCTTTTCCACCACTGGCCTAAAAGCTTTCCAAATGTCCACTTGCTGATACTACAAAAAGGGTTTTTCAAAACTGCTCTACCAAAAGAAAGGTTTAACTCTGTGAGTTGGGTGGACATATAACAAAGAAGTTTGTGAGAATGCTTCTGTATAGTTTTTATGTGACAATATTCCTGTTTCCTATGAAGGCCTCAAAGCAGTCCAAATATCCATTGCAGATTCTATGAAAAGAATGTTTCAAAACTGCTCTATGAAAAGTTATCTTCAACTCTGTGAGTTGAATGCAAACATCACAAAGAAGCTTCTGAGAATGCTTTTGTCTAGTTTTTATGTGTAGATATTTCCTTTTCCATCACTGGCCTCAAAGCTATCCAAATGTCCACATGCAGATTCTAAAAAAAGAGTGTTTTAAAACTGCTCTATGAAAAGAAAGGATGAAATCTGTGAGTTGAATGCACACATCACAAAGAAGTTTCTGAGAATGCTTCTGTCTAGTTTTTATGTGAAGATATTCCCGTTGCAATGAACTCCTCAAAGCAGTGCAAATATCCACTTGCACATTTTAGATAAGAGCGTTTCAAAACTGCTATACGAAAAGGTACTTTCAACTCTGTGAGTTGAATGCAAACATCACAAAGATGTTTCTGAGAATGCTTCTGTGTGGTTTTTGTGTGTAGATATTTCCTTTTCCACCATAGGCCTCAAAGCTCTCCAAATGTCCACTTGCAGATTCTACAAAAAGAGTGTTTCAAAACTGCTCTATCAAAAGAAAGGTTCACCTCTGTGAGTTGAATGCACAGATCACAAAGAAGTCTCTGAGAATGCTTCTGTATAGTTTTATGTGAAGATATCACCGTTTCCAACGAAGGCCACAAAGCAGTTCAAATATCCACTTGCAGATTCTATGAAAACATTGTTTCAAAACTCCTCTCTGAAAAGGTATCTTCAAGTCTGTGAGTTGAATGCAAACATCACAAAGAAGTTTCTGAGAATGCTTTTGTCTAGTTTTTATGTGTAGATATTTCCTTTTCCACCATAGGCCTCAAAGCTATCCAAATGTCCACTTGCAGATTCTACAAAAAGAATGTTTCAAAACTGCTCTATCAAAAGAAAGGTTCAAATCTGTGAGTTGAATGCACACATCAAAAAGGAGTTTCTGTGAATGCTTCTGTCTCGTTTTTATGTGAAGATATTCCCGTTTCCAATGAAATCCTCAAAGCAGTTCAAATATGCACTTGCAGATTCTATGAAAAGAGTGTTTCAAAACTGCTCTATGCAAAGGTATGTTCAAATCTGTGAGTTGAATGCAAACATCACAAAGATGTTTCTGAGAATGCTTCTGTGTGGTTTTTATGCGTAGATATTTCCTTTTCCACCATAGGCCTCAAAACTCTCCAAATGTCCACTTGAAGATTCTACAAAAAGAGTGTTTCAAAACTGCTCTATCAAAAGAAAGGTTCAACTCTCAGTTGAATGCACATATCACAATGATGTTTCTGAAAATGTTTCTGTCTGGTTTTTATGTGAACATATTCCCGTTTCCAACGAAGGCCACCAAGCAATCCAAATATTCACGTGCAGATTATTTGAAGAGTGTTTCACAACTGCTCTATGAAAAGGTATCTTCAAATCGGTGAGTTGAAATCAAACATCACAAAGAAGTTTCTGAGAATGCTTCTTTCTAGTTTTTATGTGAATATATTCCCATTTCCATCAAAGGTCTCAAAGCAGTCCAAATATCCACTAGCAGATTCTACGAAAACAGTGTTTCAAAACTGCTCTATGAAAAGATACCTTTTCATAGAGAAACATCACAAAGAAGTTTCTGAGAATGCTTCTGTCTAGTTTTTATGTGTAGATATTTCCTTTTCCACCATAGGCCTCAAAGTTCTCCAAATGTCCAATGGCAGATTCTACAAAAACAGTGTGTCAAAATTGCTCTATCAAAAGAAAGATTCAACTCTGTGAGTTGAATCCATCATCACAAAGAAGTTTCTGAGAATGCTTCTGTCTAGTTTTTATGTGTGGGTATTTCCATTTCCACCATAGAACTCAAAGCTCTTCAAATGTCCACTTGCAGATTCTACAAAAAGAATGTGTCAAAACTGCTCTATCAAAAGAAAGTTTCAAATCTGTGAGTTGAATGCACACATCACAAAGAAGTTTCTGAGAATGTTTTTGTATAGTTTTTATGTGGAGATATTCCTATTCCCAAAGAAGGCCTCAAAGCAGTCCAAATATCCATTTGCAGATACTACGAAAATAGTGTTTAAAAACTGCACTATGAAGACATACATTCAACACTGTGAGTCGAATGCAAACATCACAAAGAAGTTTCTGAGAAATCTTCTCTCTAGTTTTTATGTGAAGATATGTCCTTTTCCACCATAGGCCTCAAAGCTCTCCAAATGTCCACTTTCAGACTCTCCACTTGCAAAAGAAAGCTACAAACCAGGGAATTGAATGCAGACATCACAAAGAAGTTTGTGAGAATGCTTCTGTCTAGTTCTTATGTGAAGATATTCCCGTTTCCAACGAAGGCCTCAAATCTGTTCAAATATCCACTTGAAGATTGTACGAAAAGAGTGTTTCAAAACTACTCTATGAAAGGGTATCTTCAAATCTGTGAGTTGAATGCAAACATCACAAAGAAGTTTCTGAGAATGCTTCTGTCTAGTTTTTATGTGTAGATATTTCCTTTTCCAGCACAGGCCTCAAAGCTCTCAAAATGTTCACTTGCAGATTCTACAAAAGAGTGTTTCAAAACTGCTTTATAAAAGAAAGGATCAACCCTGTGAGTTGAATGCACCCATCACAAAGAAGTTTCTGAGAATGCTTCTGAATAGTTTTTATGTGAAGATATTCCCGTTTCCAACGAAGGCCTCAAAGCAGTCCATATATCCACTTGCATATCCTACGAAAAGAGTCTTTCAAGACTGCTCTATGAAAAGGTATCTTCAACTCTGTGAGTTGAATGCAAACATCACAAAGAAGTTTCTGAGAATGCTTCTGTTTAGTTTTTATGTGAAGATATTTCATTTTCCACCATAGGCCTCAATGCTCTACAAATGTCCACTTGCAGATTCTACAAAAAGAGTGTTTCCAAACTGCTCTATCAAAAGAAAGGTTCAACTCTGTGAGTTGAATGCACACATCACAAAGACGTTTATGAGAATGCTTCTGTCTAGTTTTTATGTGAAAATATTCCTGTTTACAACGAAGGCTTCAAAGCAGTCCAAATATCCACTTGCAGATATGCAAAAGAGTGTTTGAAAACTGCTCTATGAAAACATATCTTCAGCTCTGTGAGTTGAATGCAAACATCAGAAAGAAGTTTCTGAGAATGCTTCTGTGTGGTTTTTATGTGTAGATATTTCCTTTTCCACCATAGGCCTCAAAACTCTCCAAATGTCCACTTGCGGATTCTACAAAAAGACTGTTTCAGAACTGCTCTATCAAAAGAAAGGTTCAAATCTCTGAGTTGAATGCACATATCACAAAAAAGTTTCTGAGAATGTTTCTATCTGGTTTTTATATGAAGATATTCCCGTTTCCAAAGAAGGCCACAAAACAGATCAAATATTCACTTGCAGATGGTATGAAAAGAGTGTTTCAAAACTGCTCTATGAAAAGTTATCTTCAAATCTGTGAGTTGAATTCAAACATCACATAGATGTTTCTGGGAATGCTTCTGTCTAGTTTTTATGTGACGATATTCCTGTTTCCATCAAAGGCCTCAAAGCAGTCCAAATATACACTTGCAGATAATACGTAAAGAGTGTTTCGGAACTGCTCTTTGAAAAGATATTTTTCATAGAGAAACATCACAAAGAAGTTTCCGAGAATGCTTCTGTCTAGTTCTTATGTGAAGATTTTGCCGTTTCCAACCAAGGCCTCAAATCTGTCCAAATATCCAC
Source organism: Homo sapiens (assembly GCF_000001405.40). NCBI lineage: Eukaryota > Metazoa > Chordata > Mammalia > Primates > Hominidae > Homo > Homo sapiens. The sequence goes on from NC_000003.12 coordinate 90,411,361, forward strand.
TTGCAGATTGTACGAAAAGAGTGTTTCAAATCTGTTCTCTGAAAAGGTATCTTCAAGTCTGTGAGTTGAATGCAAACATCAGAAACAAGTTTCTGATAATGCTTCTGTGTGGTTTTTATGTGTAGATATTTCCTTTTCCACCATAGGCCTCAAAGCTCTCCAAATGTCCACTTGCAGATTCTACAAAAAGAGTGTTTCGAAACTGCTCTATCAAAAGAAAGGTTCAAATCTGCAAATTGAATGCACATATCACAAAGCAGTTTCTGAGAAAGTTTCTCTCTGGTTTTTATGTGAAGATATTCCCGTTTCCAACGAAGGCCACAAAGCAGTCCAAATATCCACTTGTAGATTGTATGAAAAGAGCGTTTCAAAACTGCTCTATGCAAAGGTATCTTCAAATCTGTGAGTTGAATTCAAATATCAGAAACAAGTTTCTGAGAATGCTTCTGTCTAGTTTTTATGTGAAGATATTCCCGTTTCCATCGAAGCCTCAAAACAGTCCAAATATCCACTTGCAGATTCTACGAAAAGAGTGTTCCAAAACTGTTCTATGAAAAGATACCTTTTCATAGAGAAACATCACAAAGAATTTCTGAGAATGCTTCTGTCTAGTTTTTATGTGAAGATATTTCCTTTTCCACCATAGGCCTCAAAGCTCTCCAAATGTCCACTTGCAGATTCTACAAAAAGAGTGTGTTAAAACTGATCTATAAAAAGACAGGTTATACTCTGTGAGTTGAATGCAAACATCACAAAGAAATTTCTGAAAGTGCTTCTGTCTGGTTTTTATGTGAAGATATTTCCTTTCCCATTTAAGCCTCAAAGCTCTCCAACTGTCCACTTGCAGATTCTACAAAAAGAGTGTTTCAAAACTGCTCTATCAAAAGAATAGTTCAAATCTGTGAGTTGAATGCACACACCACGAAGATGTTTCTGAGAATGTTTCTGTCTAGTTTTTATGTGAAGATGATATACCCGTTTCTAACGAAGGCCTCACATCAGTCCAAATATCCACTTGCAGATTCTACCAAAACAATGTTTCAAAACTGCTATATGAAAAGGTACATTCAACTCTGTGAATTGAATGCAAACATCACAAAGCAGTTTCTGAGAATGCTTCTGTCTAGTTTTTATGTGAAGATATTTCCTTTTCCACCTTAGGCCTCAAAGCCCTCCAAATGTCCACCTGCACAATCTACAAAACCAGTGTTTCAAAACTGCTCTATAAAAAGCAAGGTTCAACCCTGTGGATTGAATGGACATATCAAAAGAAGTTTCTGAGAATGCTTCTGTCTAGTTTTTATGTGAAGGTATTCCCTTTTGCAACGGTGGCCTCAAAGCAGTCCAAATACTCTACGAAAAGAGTGTTTCAAAACTGCTCTATGAAAAGTTATGTTCAACTGTGTGAGTTGAATGAAAACATTACAAAGAAGTTTCTGAGAATGCTTCTGTCTAGTTTTTATCTGAAGATATTTCCTTTTCCACCATAAGCTTCAAAGCTCTCCAAATGTCCAGTTGCAGATACTACAAAAAGAGTGTTTCAAAACTGCTCTATCAAAAGAAAGATTCAACTCTGTGAATTGATTGCACACGTCTTCAAGATGTTTCTGAGAATGCTTCTGTCTAGTTTTTATGTGAAGATACTCCCATTTACAACGAATTCCTCAAAGCCGTCCAAATATTCACTTGCAGATTCTATGAAAAGAGTGTTTCAAAACTGCTCTGTGAAAAGGTATCCTCAACGCTGTGAGTTGAATGCAAACAAACATCACAATGGAGTTTCTCTGAATGCTTCTGTCTAGTTTTTATGCGAAGATATTTCCTTTTCCACCATAGGCCTCAAAGCTCTCCAAATGTCTGCCTGCAGATTCTACAAAAAGAGTGTTTCAAAACTGCTATATCAAAAGAAAGGTTGAACTCTGTGAGTTGAATGCACACAACAAAAAGTAGTTTGAGAGAATGCTTCTGTCTAGTTTTTATGTGAAGATATTCCCTTTTCCAACGAAGGCCTCAAAGCAATCCAAATATCCACTTGCAAATCCTACCAAAAGAGTGTTTCTAAATGCTCTATGAAAAAGTATGTTCAACTCTGTGAGTTGAATGCCTACATCACAAAGAAGTTTCTGAGAATGCTTCTCACTAATTTTTATGTGAAGATATTTCCTTTTCCACCAAAGGCCTCAAAGCTTTCCAAATGTCCACTTGCAGATTCCCCACAAAGAGTATTTCAAAACTGCTCTGCCAAAAGATAAGTTCAACTCTGTGAGTTGAGTGCACACATCACAAATAAGTTTGTGAGAATTCTTCTGTCTAGCTTTTATGTGAAGATATTCCCCTTTCCAACGAAGGCCTCAAAGTTGTCAAAATACCCACTTGAAGATCCTACGAATAGAGTGTTTCAAAACTGCCCTATGAAAATGTGTCTTCAAATCTGTGAGTTGAATGCAAACATCACAAAGATGTTTCTGAGAATGATTCTGTCTAGTTTTTATGTGAAGTTATTTCCTTTTCCACCATAGGCCTCAAAGCGCTCCAAATATCCACTTGCAGATTCTACAGAAAGAGTGTTTGAAAACTGCTCAATCAAGGGAAAGTTTCAACTCTGTGAGTTGAAAGCACACAACACAAAGAGGTTTCTGAGAATGCTCCTGTCTAGTTTTGATGTGAGGACATTTCTTTTTCTGCTGTACGATGCAAAGGGCTTCAAATATCCACTTGTAGATTCCACAAAAAGAGTATTTCAAAACTACTCTATCAAAAGAAAGTTTCAACTTTGTGAGATGAATGCACAGAACACAAAGAAGTTTCTGAGAATATTTCTGTCTAGTTTTTATGTGAAGATATTTCCTTTTCCACCATAGGCCTCAAAGTTCTCCAAATATCGACTTGAAGATTCTACAAAGAGAGTGTTTCTAAACTCCTCAATTAAAGGAAAGGTTCAACTCTGTGAGTTGAATGCACACAACACAAAGAAGTTTCTAAGAATGCTTTTGTGTAGTTTTTACGTGAGGACATTTCCTTTTCCACCGTAGGCTTCAAAGCACTGCAAATATCCACTTGCTTATTCTACAAAAGAGTGTTTCAAAACTGCTCTATTAAAAGAAAGGATCAACTCTGTGACTTGAATGCACACTTCACTAAGTAGTTTCTGAGAATTTTTCTGCTAGATTTTATATGATGATATTTCCTTTTCCACCATAGGCCTCAAATCGCTCCAAATATCCACTTGCAGGTTCTACAAAAAGAGGGTTTCAAAACTGCTCTATCAAAAGAAATGTTCACCTCAGTGAGTTGAATGCACCCAACACAAAGAAGGTTCTGAGAATGCTTCTGTCTAGTTTTTATGTGAAGATATTTCCTTTAACACCATAATCCTCAAAGTGCTCCAAATATACACTTGCGGATTCTAGGAAAAGAGTGTTTCAAAACTGCTCTATCAAAAGGAATGTTCAACTCTGTGAGTGGAATGCAAACATCACAAAGGAGTTTCTGAGAATGGCTCTGTCTAGATTTTATATGACGATATTTGCTTTTTTATGATAGACCTTAATGCGGTCAAATTATCCACTTGCAGTTTCTACACAGAGTCTTTCAAAATTGCTCTGTCAAAATGAAAGTTCAACTCTGTGAGTTGAATACACACATCAAAAACTTTCTGAGAATTTTTCTGTCTAGTTTTTATGTGAAGGTATTCCCGTTTCCACAGAAGGCCTCAAAGGCGTTCAAATATCCACTTGCAGGTCCTACAAAAAGAGTGTTTCAAAACTGCTATATGAAAAGAAATGTTCAAATCTATGAGTTGAAGACAAACATCTCAAAGAAGTTTTTGGTAATACCTCTGCGTAGTTTCAATGTGAAGATATTTACTTTTTTACCATAGGCATCAAAGCGCTCCAAATGTCCACTTGCAGATTCAACAAATAGAGTGTTTCAAAGTTGCTCTATCAAAAGAAAGGTTCAACTCTGTGAGTTGAACACAAACATCACAAAGTAGTTTCTGAGAATGCTTCTGTCTAGTTTTTATATGAAGATATTTCCATTTCTACAGTAGGTCCCAAAGAGCTCCAAATATCCACTTGCAGATTCTACAAAAACAGAGTTTTAAAATTGTTATATCAAAAGGAAGGTTCAACTCTCTGAGCTGAATGCACATATCACAAAGAAGTTTCTGAGAGTGCTTCTGTCTAGTTTTTATGTGAAGATATTCCGGTTTCCACAGAAGGCTTCAAGTAACTCAAAGTATCCATTTGCAGATTCTACAAAAAGAGTGTTTCAAAACTGCTCTGTCAAAACAAAGTTTCAACTCTGTAAGTTGAATGCACACATCATAAAGAAGTTTCTGAGAATTCTTCTGTCTACTTTTTATATGAAGACACTTCTTTTCCACCATAGGCCTCAAAGCGCTCCAAATATTCACTTGCAAATCGTACAAATAGACTGTTTCAAAACTTCTCTATCTAAAGGAAGGTTCAACTCTGTGAGTTGAATGCACACATCACAAAGAAGTTTCTGAGAATGCTTCTGTCTAGTTTTTATGTGAAGATATTCTCGTTTACACCATAAGCCTCAAAACGGTTGAAATATCCACTTGCAGATTCTACAAAAAGAGTGTTTCAAAACTGCTCTATGAAAAGGAAAGTTCAACTCTGTGAGTTGAATACAAACATCACAAAGTAGTTCCTTAGGATGCTTCTGTCTAGTTTTTATGTAAAGATATTTCCTTTTTCACCACTGACATCAAAGTGCTCAAAATGTCCACTTACAGATTCTACAAAAACAATGTTTAAAAACTGCTCTATCAAAAGAAAGGTTGCATTCTGTGAGTTGAATGCACACAGCTCAAAGTAGTTTCCTAGATTACTTCTGTCTAGCTTTTCTATGAAGATATTTCCTTTTCTACCATAGACCTCAAAACGCTCCAAATATCCACTTACAGATTCTACAAAAAGAGTGTTTCAAAACTGCTCTATGAAAAGCAAGGTTCAACTCTGTGAGTTGAATGCAAACATCACAAAGTAGTTTCTAAGAATTCCTCTCTCTAGTTTTTATATGATGATATTTCCTTTTCTCCCATAGGCCTCAATGAGCTCCAATTATCCACTTGCAGATTCTACAAAAAGAGTGTTTCAAAAACTGATCTACCAAAAGTAATGTTCAACTCTGTGAATTGAATGCACACATCACAAACGACTTTCTAAGGATGCTTCTGTCTACTTCTTATGTGAAGATATTCCCGTTTCCAACGCAGACCTCAAAGCTCTCCAAATGTCCCCTTGCAGATTCTACAGAAAGTGTGTTTCAAAACTACTCTATCAAAGGAAGGTTCAACTCTGTGAGTTGAATGTGCACATCACAAAGAACTTTCTGAGAATGCTTCTCTCTAGTTTTTGTGTGAAGATATTCCTGTTTCCACCGCAGGCCACAAAGATCTCCAGATATCCACTTGCAGATTCCACAGAAAGACTGTTCCAAAACTACTCTATCAAAAGGAAGGTTCAGCTCTCTAATTTGAATGCACAAGTCACAAAGAAGATTTTGAGAATGCTTCTGTCTAGTTTTCTTGTGACGATATTCCCTTTTTCCACCGAAGGCCCCAAAGCACTACAAATATCCACTTGCGTTCCTACAAAAACAGTGTTTCAGAACTTCTCTATCTAAAGGAAGTTTCAACTCTCTGAGTTGAAAGCACACATCACAAAGAAGTTTCTGCGAATGTTTCTGTCTAATTTTTATGTGAAGATATTCCCGTTTCCACCAAAGGCCTGAAATCTGTCCAAATATCCACCTGCAGATTCTACAAAAACACTGTTTGAAAACTCCTCTATGAAAAGGAATGTTCAACTCTTCGAGTTGAATGCAAACATCACAAAGAAGTTTCTGAGAATGCTTCTGTCCACTCTTTATGGGAAGATACTTCATTTTCCACCATAGGAATCAACGAGCTCCAAATGTCCACTTGCAGATTCTACAAAACGACTGTTTCAAAACTGCTCAATCAAAAGAAAGGTTGAATACTGTGAGATGAGTGCACACATCACAAAGTAGTTTCTGAGAATGCTTCTGTATAGTTTTTATGTGAAGATATTTCCTTTCGTACCATAGGCCTCAAAGCGCTAGAAATATCCACTTGCAGATTCTACAAAAAGAGTGTTTCAAAACTGCTCTATCAAAAGGAAGGTTCAACTCTCTGAGTTGAATGCACACATCAAAGAAGTTTCAGAGAATGCTTCTGTCTACTTTTTGTGTGAAGACATTCCCGTTTCCACCATAGGCATCAAAGAGCTCCAAATATCCACTTGCAGATCCTACAAAAAGCGTTTTTCAAAACTGCTCTATAAAAAGAAAAGTTTAACCCTGTTAGTTGAATGCATACATCACAAAGAAGTTTCTGAGAATGATTCTTTCTACTAGTTATGTGAAGATACACCCTTTTCCACCACAGGACTAAAAGCGCTCCAGATATCTACTTGCAGATTCTACAAAAAGAGTGTTTCAAAACTGCTCTATGAAAGGGAAGGTTCAACTCTGTGAGTTGAATGCACACATCACAAAGAAGTTTCTCAGAGTGCTTCTATCTAGTTTTTAATGTGAAGATATTGCCGTTTCCACCAAAGGCCTCAAAGCCGTCCAAATATACACTTGCAGATTCTACAAAAAGAGTGTTTCAAAACTGCTCCATCAAAAGGAAGTTTCAACTCTGTGAGTTGAATGCACACATCACAAAGTGGTTTGTGAGAATGGTTCTGTCTAGTTTTTATATGAAGATATCACCTTTTCTACCATAGGCCTCAAAGCGCTCCACATTTCCTCTTGCAAACTCTACAAAAAGAGTATTTCAAAACTGCTCTATCGAAAGAAAGTTTCAACTCTGTGAGTTGAATGCACACATCACAAAGAAGTTTCTGAGAATGCCGCTGTCTAGTTTACAGGTGAAGATATTCCTGTTTCCACAGAACGCCTCAAAGCTGTCCAAATGTCTACTTGCAGATTCTACAAAAAGAGGGTATCAAAACTGCTCTATCAAAAGATAGGTTCAACTTTGTGAGTTGAATGCACACATCTCAAAGAAGTTTCTGAGAATGTTTCTGTCCAGTGTTTAAGTGAAGATATTTCCTTTTCCAGCACAGGCCTCAAAGCCCTCCAAATGTACACTTGCAGTTTCTACAAAAATACTGTTTCAAAACTGCTCTATGAAAAGGAAAGTTCAACTCTGTCAGTTGAATGCACACATCACAAAGAAGTTTCTGAGAATGCTTCTGTCTAGTTTTTATATAAAGATATTTGCTTTTCTACCATAGGCGTCAAATCACTACAAATATCCACTTGCAGATTCTACAAAAAGAGTGTTTCAAAACTGCTCTATCAAAAGGAAAGTTCAACTCTGTGAGTTGAATGCACACATCACACACAAGTTTCTGAGAAAGTTTCTCTCTAGTTTCTGTGTGAAGATATTTCCATTTCCACCACAGGCCTTAAAGCCCTCCAAATGTCCACTTGCAGATTCTTCACAACGAGTGTCTCAAAACTGCTCTATCAAAGAAAGGTTCGAGCCTGTTAGTTGAATGCACAGATCACAAAGAAGTTCCTGAGAATCCCTCTGTCTAGTTTTTATGTGAAGATATTTCCTTTTCCACCACAGGCCTCAAAGACTTATAAATATACACAGGCACATTCTACAAAAAGGCTGTTCCAAAACTTCTCTATGAAAAGTGATGTTCTTGTAAATTTGTTTGAGTTCATTGTAGATTCTAGATATTAGCCCTTTGTCAGATGAGTAGGTTGTGAAAATTTTCTCCCATGTTGTAGGTTGCCTGTTCACTCTGATGGTAGTTTCTTTTGCTGTGCAGAAGCTCTTTAGTTTAATTAGATCCCATTTGTCAATTTTGTCTTTTGTTGCCATTGCTTTTGGTGTTTTGGACATGAAGTCCTTGCCCACGCCTATGTCCTGAATGGTAATGCCTAGGTTTTCTTCTAGGGTTTTTATGGTTTTAGGTCTAATGTTTAAATCTTTAATCCATCTTGAATTGATTTTTGTATAAGGTGTAAGGAAGGGATCCAGTTTCAGCTTTCTACATATGGCTAGCCAGTTTTCCCAGCACCATTTATTAAATAGGGAATCCTTTCCCCATTTCTTGTTTTTCTCAGGTTTGTCAAAGATCAGATAGTTGTAGATATGTGGCGTTATTTCTGAGGGCTCTGTTCTGTTCCATTGATCTATATCTCTGTTTTGGTACCAGTACCATGCTGTTTTGGTTACTGTAGCCTTGTAGTATAGTTTGAAGTCAGGTAGTGTGATGCCTCCAGCTTTGTTCTTTTGGCTTAGGATTGACTTGGCTATGCGGGCTCTTTTTTGGTTCCATATGAACTTTACAGGATTAAGAATCTCACTCAAAGCCGCTCAACTACATGGAAACTGAACAACCTGCTCCTGAATGACTACTGGGTACATAACGAAATGAAGGCAGAAATAAAGATGTTCTTTGAAACCAACGAGAACAAAGACACAACATACCAGAATCTCTGGGACACATTCAAAGCAGTGTGTAGAGAGAAACTTATAGCACTATATGCCTACAAGAGAAAGCAGGAAAGATCCAAAATTGACACCCTAACATCACAATTAAAAGAACTAGAAAAGCAAGAGCAAACACATTCAAAAGCTAACAGAAGGCAAGAAATAACTAAAATCAGAGCAGAACTGAAGGAAATAGAGACACAAAGCTCTTCAAAAAATCAATGAATCCAGGAGCTGGTTTTTTGAAAGGATCAACAAAATTGATAGACCACTAGCAAGACTAATAAAGAAAAAAAGAGAGAAGAATCAAATAGATGCAATAAAAAATGATAAAGGGGATATCACCACCGATCCCACAGAAATACAAACTACCATCAGAGAATACTACAAACACCTCTACACAAATAAACTAGAAAATCTAGAAGAAATGGATACATTCCTCGACACATACACTCTCCCAAGACTAAACCAGGAAGAAGTTGAATCTCTGAATAGAACAATAACAGGATCTGAAATTGTGGCAATAATCAATAGTTTACCAACCAAAAAGAGTCCAGGACCAGATGGATTCACAGCCGAATTCTACCAGAGGTACAAGGAGGAACTGGTACCATTCCTTCTGAAACTATTCCAATCAATAGAAAAAGAGGGAATCCTCCCTAACTCATTTTATGAGGCTAGCATCATTCTGATACCAAAGCCAGACAGAGACACAACCAAAAAAGAGAATTTTAGACCAATATCCTTGATGAACATTGATGCAAAAGTCCTCAATAAAATACTGGCAAACCGAATCCAGCAGCACATCAAAAAGCTTATCCACCATGATCAAGTGGGCTTCAACCCTGGGATGCAAGGCTGGTTCAATATATGCAAATCAGTAAATGTAATCCAGCATATAAACAGAACCAAAGACAAAAACCACATGATTATCTCAGTAGATGCAGAAAAGGCCTTTGACAAAATTCAACAACCCTTCATGCTAAAAACTTTCAATAAATTAGGTATTGATGGGACGTGTCTGAAAATAATAAAAGCTATCTATGACAAACCCACAGCCAATATCGTACTGAATGGGCAAAAACTGGAAGCATTCCCTTTGAAAACTGACACAAGACAGGGATGCCCTTTCTCACCACTCCTATTCAACATAGTGTTGGAAGTTCTGGCCAGGGCAATTAGGCAGGAGAAAGAAATAAAGGGTATTCAATTAGGAAAAGAAGAAGTTAAATTGTCCCTGTTTGCAGACTACATGATTGTAAATCTAGAAAACCCCATTGTCTCAGCCCAAAATCTCCTTAAGCTGATAGGCAACTTCAGCAAAGTCTCAGGATACAAAATCAGTGTACAAAAATCACAAGCATTCTTATACACCAACAACAGACAAACAGAGAGCGAAATCATGAGTGAACTCCCATTCACAATTGCTTCGAAGAGAATAAAATATCTAGGAATCCAATTCAGAAGGGATGTGAAGGGCCTCTTCAAGGAGAACTACAAACCACTGCTCAATGAAATAAAAGAGGATACAAACAAATGGAAGAACATTCCATGCTCATGGGTAGGAAGAATCAATATCGTGAAAATGGCCATACTGCCCAAGGTAATTTACAGATTCAATGCCATCCCCATCAAGCTACCAATTACTTTCTTCACAGAATTCTTTCTAGTTCTTATGTAAGGATATTCCCGTTTCCAACAAAGGCCTCAAAGCGGTCCAAATATCCACTTGCAGATATTTACAAAAAGTGTGTTTCAGAACTGGTCTATCCAAAGACAGCTTCACCTCTGTGAGTTAAATGCACACATCACAAGGTAGTTTCTGAGAATTCTTCTGTCTATTATTTATAAGGATATTACCTTTTCTATCATAGGCCTCAAAGTACTCAAATGTCCACTTGCAGATTCTACAAAAAGATTGTTTCAAAACTGCTCTATCAAAAGGAAGGTTCAACACTGAGAGTTCAATGCGCACATCAAAAACTAGTTTCTGAGAATTCTTCTATCTAGTGTTTATTTGAAGATATTCCCATTTCCAACAAAGGCCTCAAAGCGGTCCAAATATCCACTTGCAGATTCGACCAAAAGAGTTTTTCAAAACTGCCCTATCAAAAGAAATGTTCACCTCTGTGAGTTGAATGCACACATCTCAAAGTAGTTTCTGAGAATGCTTCAGTATAGTTTTTGTTTGAAGATATTCCCATATCCAGAGAAGGCCTCAAAGTTGCCAAATATCCACTGACAGCTTCCACAAAAAGTGTGCTTCAAAACTGCTCTATCAAAAGGAAGGTTCAACTCTGTGAGTTGAATGCACACATGACAGAGAAGTTTCTGAGAATGCTTCTGTCTATTTTCTATGTGAAGATATTTCCTTTTCCACCACAGGCCTCAAAGCGCTCCAAAAGTCCAACTGCAAATTCTTCAAAATAAGTGTTTCAAAACTGCTCTATCAAAAGAAAGGTTCAACTCTGTGAGTTGAGTGCACACATCATAAAGAGGTTTCTGAGAATGGTTCTGTCTAGTTTTTTATATGAAGATATTTGTGTTTCCACCATAGGCCTCAAAACGATCCAAATATCCACTTGCAGATTCTACAAAAAGAGGGTTTCAAATGTCCTCTATCAAAAAGAATGTTCAAATCTCTGAATGGAATGCACACATCACTAATAAATTTCTGAGAATGCTTCTGTCTAGTTTTTAGGTGAAAATATTCCCGTTTCCAACGAAGTCCTCAAAGCTGTCCAAATACCCACTTGCAGATTCTACAAAAAGAGTGTTTCAACACTGCTCTGTCAAAAAGAAAATTCAACTCTGTGAGTTGAATGCACACATCACAAAGAAGTTTATGAGAATGCTTCTGTCTGCTTTTTATTTGATGGTATTCCCATTTCCAATGAAGGCCACAAAGCACTCCAAATGTCCACTTACAGATTCTTCAAAAAGAGTTTTTCAAAACTGCTCTTCCAAAAGGAAGGCTCAACTCTGTGAGTTGAATGCACACATCACAAAGAAGTTTCTGTGAATGCTTCTGTCAAGTTTTATATGAAGATAATTTGTTTTCTACGATAGGCCTCAAAGCGCTCCAAATATCCACTTGCAGATTCTACAAAAAGAGTGTTTCAAAACTGCTCTATCAAAAGGAAGGTTCAACTCTGTGAGTTGAATGCACACATCACAAAGAGGATTCTGTGAAAACTTCTTTCTAGTTTCTATGTGAGGATATTTCCTTTACTACCACAGGACTCAAAGCGCTGTAAATATCAACTTGCAGATACTTAAAAAAGAGTGTTTCAAAATGGCTCTATCAAAAAAAGATTCATCTCTGTGAGTTGAATGCACACATCACAAAGTACTTTCTGAAAATCCTTCTGTCTAGTTTTTACGTGAGGATATTCCCGTTTCCACCGCAGGCCTAAATGCCCTCAAAATGTCCACATGCAGATTCTACAAAAAGAGGGTTTCAGAACTGCTCTACCAAAATGAAGGTTCAACTCTGTGAGTTTAATGCACACACCACAAAGTAGTTTCTGAAAATGCTTCTGTCTAGTTTTTAAGTGAGGATATTCCCGTTTCCAACGAAGTCCTCAAAGCAGTCCAAATATCCCCTTGCAGATTCGACAAAAAGAGTGTTTCAAAACTGCTCTATCAAAAGAAAAGTTTACCTCTGTGAGTTGAATGCAGACATCAAGAAGACATTTCTGAGAATGCTTCTGTCTAGTTTTACATGAAGATGTTTGCTATTCTATCATAGGCCTCAAAGTGATCCAAATATTCAATTGCAGATTCTACAAAAGACTGTTTCAAAATTCTCTATCAAAAGGAAGGTTCAACTCTGTGAGTTGAATGCACACATCACAACAATGTTTCTCAAAATGCTTCTGACTAGTTTTTATGTGAGGATATTCCCGTTTCCACCTCAGACCTCAAAACCCTACAAATGTCCACATGCAGATTCTACAAAAAGAGTGTTTCAAAACTGCTGTATCAACAGGAACGTTCAACTCTGTGAGTTGAATGCACAGATCACAAAGAAGTTTCTGAGAATTCTTTTAAATAGTTTTTATTTGAAGATATTCCCATTTCCAAATAAGGCCTCAAAGCGGTCCAAATATCCACTTGCAGAGTCTTCAAAAAGAGTGTTTCAAAAATGCCATATCAAAAGGATGGTTCAACTCTGTGAGTTGAATGCACACATCACAAAGAAGTCTCTGAGAATGCTTCAGTCTAATTATTTGAAGACATTCCCTTTTCCAACGAATGCCTCAAAACGCTCCAAATATCCACTTGCAGATTCTACAAAAAGAGGGTTTCAAAAGTGCTCTATCAAAAGGAATTTTCAACTCTGTGAGTTGAATGCACACATCCCAAAGAAATTTCTGAGAATACTTCTGTCTAGTTTTTATGTGAAGATATTTACTTTTCTACCTTAGGCCTCAAAGTGCTCAAAATATCCACTTGCAGATACTACCAAAAGAGTGTTTCAAAACTGCTCCGTTAAAAGAAAGGTTCACCTCTGTGAGTTGAATACACACATTACAAAAAACTTTCTGAGAATGCTTCTGTCTAGTGATTAGGTGAAGATATTTGCTTTTCAACGATAGGCTTCAAATCTGTCCAAATATTCACTTGCAGATTCTATAAAAATATTTTTTCAAAACTGTTCAATCAAAAGGAAAGTTCAACACTGTGAGTTGAATGCACAGATCACAAACAAGTTTCTGAGAATGCTTCTGTCCAGTTTTTATTTGACGATATTTCCATTTCCAATGAAGACCTCAAAGTGTTTCAAATAGCCACTTGCAGATTATACAAAAAGAGTGTTTGAAAACTGCTCTATCAAAAGTAAGGTTCGACTCTGTGAGTTGAATGCACACTTCACCAAGAAGTTTCTGAGAATGCTTCTGTTTAGTTTTTATATGAAGATATTAACATTTCAACTGTAGGCCTCAAAGTGGTCCAAATATCCACTTGCAGATTCCACAAAAAGAGGGTTTCAAAACTGCTCTATCAAAAGGAAGGTTCAACTCTGTGAGCTGAATGTACATGTGACAGAGAAGTTTCTGAGAATGCTTCTGTCTAGTTTCTATGTGAAGATATTTCCTTTTCCACCACAGGCCTCAAAGCGCTCCAAATGTCCAACTACAGATCCTTCAAAATAAGTGTTTCAAAACTGCTCTATCAAAAGAAAGGTTCGACTCTGTAAGTTGAATGCACACATCGTAAAGAAGTTTCTGAGAATGGTTCTGTCTAGTTTTTATATGAAGATATTTGCGTTTCCATCATACGCCTCAAAGCGATCCAAATATCCACTTGCAGATTCTACAAAAAGAGGGTTTCAGAAGTCCTCTATCAAAAAGAATGTTCTAATCTCTGAGTTGAATGCACACATCACAAAGGAGTTTCTGAAAAAGCTTCTGTCTAATTTTTATTTGAAGATATTTCCTTTTCTACCATAGACCTCAAAGCGCTCCAAATGTCCACTTGGAGATTCTCTAAAAAGAGTGTTTCAAAACTGCTCTATCAAAAGGAATGGTCAACTCTGTGAGATGAATGCACACATCACAAAGAATTTTCTGAAAGTTCTTCTGTATAGCTTTTATGTGAGAATATTCCCCTTCCAACGAAGGCCACAAAGCGGTCCAAATATCCACTTGCAGATTCTATGAAAAGAGTGTTTCAAAACTGCTCTATCAAAAGGAAGGTTCAACTCTGAGAGTTGAAGACACACATCACAAAGGAGTTTCTGAGAATGCTTCTGTCTAGTTTTTATTTTTAGATATTCCCGTTTCCAACGAAGGCATTAAAGAGTTCCAAATATCCACTTGCAGATTATACGAAAAGAGTTTTTCAAAACTGCTCTATCAAAAGGAAGGTTCTACTCTGTGAGTTGAAGGCACACATCACAAAGAAGTTTCTGAGAATGCTTCCGTCTGGTTTCTATGTAACGATATTTCCTTTTCCACCACAGGACTCAAAGCCCTCCAAATGTCCAGTTGCAGATTCTATAAAAAGATGGTTTCTAAACTGCTCTTTCAAAAGGAAGGGTCAAATTTGTTAAATGAATGCACACAACACAAAGAAGTTTCTGAGAATGCCTCTGTCTAGTCATTTGAAGATATTCCCGTTCCCAATGAAGGCTTCAAAGCGGTCCAAATATCCACCTGCAGATTCTACAAAAAGAGTGTTTCAAAACAGCTCTATCAAAAGGAAGGTTCAACTATGTGAGTTGAATGCACACATAACGAAGAGGTTTCTGAGAATAGTTCTGTCTACTTTCTATGGGAAGATATTTCCTTTTCCACCACAGGCCTCAAAACCCTCCAAATATCCACTTGCAGACTCTACAAAAAGAGTGCTTCAAGACTGTACTTTCAGGGATCATTTCTATAGTTTGTTACAAAAAGAGTGCTTCAAAACTCCTCTACCAAAAGGAAGGTTCAACTCTTTGAGTTGAATGCACACATAAAAAAGAAGTTTCTGAGAATGCTTCTGTCTAGTTTTTATATGAAGATATTTCCTTTTCAAGCATAGGTCTCAAAGTGCTTCAAATGTCCATTTGCAGATTCTACAAAAAGACTGTTTCAAAACTGCTCTATGAAAAATATTGTTCAACTCTGTGAGTTGAATGCACACATCACCAAGAAGTTTCTGAAAATGCTTCTGTCTAGGTTTTATTTGAAGATATTTCCTTTTCTACCCTAGGCCTCCAAGTGCTCCAAATGTCCACTTGCAGATTCTACAAAAAGAGTGTTTCAAACCTGCTCTATCAAAAGTAATGTTCAACTCTGTGAGTTGAATGCACACATCACAAAGTACTTTCTGAGAATGCTTCTGCCTAATTTTTATGTGAGAATATTCCCGTTTCCAACGAAGGCCTACAAGCTGACCCAATATTCACCTGCCGATTCTCCAAAAAGAGTGTTTCAAAACTGCTGTATCAAAAGAAAGGTTCACCTCTGTGAGTAGAATGCACACATCACAAAACACTTTCTTAGAATGCTTCTGTCTAGTTTTTATGTGAAGATATTCGCTTTTCTACCATAGGCCTCGAAGCACTCCAAATCTTCACTTGCAGATTCTACAAAAAGAGTGTTTCAAAACTACTCTATAAAAAAGAAGGTTCAACTCTGGGAGTTGAATGCACACATCACAAAGAAATTTCTGAGAATGCTTCTGTGTAGTGTCTATTTGAAGATATTTCCTTTTCCCCACAGGCCTTAAAGCGCTCCAAATGTCAACTTGTCAATACTACAAAAAGAGTGTTTCAAAACTGCTCTATCAAAAGAAAGGTTGAACTCTGTGAGGTGTATGCATACATCACAAAGAAATTTCTGAGAATTCCTCTGTCTAGTTTTTAGTTGAAGATAGTCCCGTTTCCAACGAAGGCCTCAAAACTGTCCAAATATCCACTTGCAGATTCTATAAAATGAGTGTTTCAAAACTGTTCTATCAAAAGGAAGGTTCAACTTGGTGAGTTGAATGCACACATCACAAAGAAGTGTCTGAGAATGCTTCTGTCTAGTTTTTATTTGAGAATATTCCCGTTTCCAACGAAGGCCTCAAAGCGTTCGAAATATCCACTTGCAAATTATACAAAAAGAGTGTTTCAAAACCGTTCTATCAAAAGGAAGGTTCAACTCTGTGAGTTGAATGCACACATCGCAAGAGGTTTCTGAGAATAGTTCTGTCTAGTTTCTATGTGAAGATATTTCCTTTTCCACCACAGTTCTCAAAACCCTCCAAATGTCCACTTGCAGACTCTACAAAAAGAGTGTTTCAAATTTGTGTTATCAAAAGGAAGTTTCAAATCTGTGAGTTGAATGCACACATCACAAAGAAGTTTCTGAGAATGCTTCTGTCTGTTTTTTTTCGGAGATAATCCCGATTCCAACGAAGGCCTCATAGCAGTCCAAATATCCACTTGCAGATTCTACGATAAGTATGTTTCAAAATTCCTCTATCAAAAAATATGTTCAACTCTGTGAGTTGAATGAACAGATCACAAAGAAGTTTCTGAGAATGCTTCTGTCTAGTTTTTATTCCAAGATATTCCCTTTTCCAACGAACGCCTCAAAGCAGTCCAAATACCCACTTGCAGATCCATCAAAAAAAGTGTTTCAAACTGCTCTATTAAAAGGAAGGTTCAGTTCTGTGAATTGAATGCACAAATCACAAAGAAGTTTCTGAGAATGCGTCTGTCTAGTTATTTGAATTCATTCCCGTTTCCAACGAAGGTTTCAAACAGTCAAAATATCGACTTGCAGATTCTACAAAAAGAGTGTTTCAAAACTGCTCTATCAAAAGGAAGGTTCAACTCTGTGAGTTGAATGCACACATCATAAAGAGATTTCTGAGAATTCTTCTGTCTAGTCTCTATGTGAAGATATTACCTTTTCCACCTCAGGCCTCAAATCCCTCCAAATGTCAGCTTGCAGATTCTACAAAAAGAGTGTTTCAAAACTGTTCCATCAAGAGGACGGTGCAACTCTCTGAGTTGAATGCACAAATCACAAAGATGTTTCTGAAAATGCTTCTTGTCCAGTTTTAATGTGAGAATATTCCCCTTTCCAATGAAGGCCTCAAAGCGCTCCAAACTTCCCCTTGCAGAGTCTACAAAAAGAGTGTTTCAAAACTGCTCTAACAAAAGAAAAGTTCACCTCTGTGAGTTGAATGCACACATCACAAAGGAGTTTCTGAGAATCCTTCTGTCTAGTTTTTATTTGAAGAAACACACGTTTCCAATGAAGGCCTCAAAGCGTTCCAAATATCCACTTGCAGATTCTAAAAAAAAGACTGTTTCAAAACTTCTCTGTCAAAAGAACGGTTCAACTCTGTTAGCTGAATGCACACATCACAAAGTAGTTTCTGAGAATACTTCTGTCTAGTTTTATATGAAGATATTTGCTTTTCTACCATAGGCTTCAAAGCGCTCCAAATATGCACTTGCAGATTCTACAAAAAGAGTGTTTCAAAACAGCTCTTTCAAAAGGGAGGTTCAACTCGTAGGTTGAAAGCACACATCAAAAAGTGGTTTCTGAGAATACTTTTGTCTAGTTTCTATGTGAAGATATTTCCTTTCCTACCATATTCCTCAAAGCGCTCCAAATGTCCACTTTCAGATTCTTCAAAAGACTGTTTCAAAGCTGCTCTATCAAAAGGAAGGCTCAACTCTGTGAGTTGAATGCACACATCACATAGAAGTTTCTGAAAATGCTTCTGTCTAGCTTTTAAGTTAGGATATTCCCATTTCCAATGAAGGCCTCAAAGAGTTCCAAATATCCCCTTGCAGATTCTCCAAAAAGAGTGTCTCAAAACTTCTCTTTCAAAAGAAAGGTTCACCTCTGTGAGCTGAATGCACACATAACAAAGAAGTTTCTGAGAATGCTTCTGTCTAGTTTTATATGAAGAAAATTTCTTTCCTACTATAGGCCTAAAAGCGCTCCAAATATCCACTTGCAGATTCTACAAAAAGAGTGTCTCAAAACTGCTATATCAAAAGAAAGGTCACCTCTGTGAGTTGAATGCACACATCACAAAGTACTTTCTGAGAATGCTTCTGTCTACTTTTTATGTGAAGATACTTGCTTTTCTACCATAGGCCTCAAAGCGCTCCAATTGTCCACTTAGAGATTCTACAAAAGAGTGTTTCAAAACTGCTGTATCAAAAGGAAGCTTCAAATCTGTGAGTTGAATGCACACAACACAAATAAGTTTCTGAAAATGCTTCTATCTAGTTTTTATGTGAGAATATCCCCGTTTCCAATGAAGGCCTCAAAGCGGTCCAAATATCCACTTGCAGATTCTCCAAAAAGAGTGTTTCAAAACTACTCTACTAAAGGAAAAGTTCACCTCTGTGAGTTGAATGCCCACATCACAAAGTACTTTCTGAGAATGCTTCCATCTAGTTTTTATGTGAAGATATTTGCTTTTCTACCATAGGCCTCAATGCGCTCCAAATATCCACTTGCCTGTTCTACAAAGAGTGTTTCAAAACTGGTCTATCAAAAGGAAGGTTCAACTCTGTAAGTTGAATGAACACATCACAAAGAAGTTTCTGAGAATCCTTCTGTCTAGTTATTTGAAGATATTCACTTTTCCAACAAAGGCCTCAAAGCGGTCCAAATATCCACTGGCAGATTGTAGAAAAAGAGTGTTTCAAAACTGCTCTATCAAAAGAAAGGTTGAACTCTGTGAGTTGAATGCACACATCACAAAGTGGTTTCTGAGAATGGTTCCGTCTACTTTCTATGTGAAGATATTTCCTTTTCCACCATAGGCCTCAAAACCCTCCAAATGTCCACTTGCAGATTCTACAAAAAGAGGGTTTCAAAACTGTTCTATCAAAAGGAAGGTTCAAATCTGTGAGTTGAATGCACACATAAAAGAGACGTTTCGGAGAATGCTACTGTCTAGTTTTTATTTGAAGATATTCCCGTTTCCGACGAAAGCATCAAAGCAGTCCAAATATCCAATTGCAGGTTATACAAAAAGAATGTTTCAAAACATCTCTATCAAAAAGAAGGTTCAACTCTGTGAGTTGAATGAACACATCACAAAGAAGTTTCTCAGATGGATTCTGTCTATTTTTTAAGTGAGGATATTCCCGTTTCCAACACAGGCGTCAAAGTCCTCCAAATGACCACTTGCAGATTCTACAAAAATAATGTTTCAAAACTTCTCTATCAAAAAGAGGGTTCAAGTCTGTAAGTTGAATGCACACATCACAAAGATGTTTCTGAGAATGATTTTCATGTCGTTTTCATATGAAGATATTTCCTTTTCTTTTTTTTGTATTTTACTTTAAGTTTTAGGGTATATGTGCACAATGTGCAGGTTAGTTACATATGTATACATTTGCCATGCTGGTGCGCTGCACCCAGTAACTGGTCATCTAGCATTAGGTATATCTCACAATGCTATCCCTACCCCTACCTCCACCCCACAACAGGCCCCAGAGTGTGATGTTCCCCTTCCTGTATCCATGTGTTCTCAATGTTCAGTTGCCGCCTATGAGTGAGAATATGTGGTGTTTGGTTTTTTGTTCTTGCGATAGTTTACTGAGAATGATGATTTCCAATTTCATCCATGTCCCTACAAAGGACATGAACTCATCATTTTTTATGGCTGCATAGTATTCCATGGTGTATATGTGCCACATTTTCTTAATCTAGTCTATCATTGTTGGACATTTGGGTTGGTTCCAAGTCTTTGCTATTGTGAATAATGCCGCAATAAACATACATGTGCATGTGTCTTTATAGCAGCATGATTTATAGTCCTTTGGGTATATACCCAGTAATGGGATGGCTGGGTCAAATGATATTTCTAGTTCTAGATCCCTGAGGAATCACCACACTGACTTCCACAATGGTTGAGCTAGTTTACAGTCCCACCAACTTTGTAAAAGTGTTCTTGTTTCACCACATCCTCTCCAGCAACTGTTGTTTCCTGACTTTTGAATGTTTGCCATTCTAACTGGTGTGAGATGGTATCTCATTGTGGTTTTGATTTGCATTTCTCTGATGGCCAGTGATGGTGAGAATTTTTTCATGTGTTTTTTCACTGCATAAATGTCTTCTTTTGAGAAGTGTCTGTTCATGTCCTTCACCCAATTTTTGATGGGGTTGTTTGTTTTTTTTCTTGTAAATTTGTTTGAGTTCATTGTAGATTCTGGATATTAGCCCTTTGTCAGATGAGTAGGTTGTGAAAATTTTCTCCCATTTTATAGGTTGCCTGTTCACTCTGATGGTAGTTTCTTTTGCTGTGCAGAAGCTCTTTAGTTTAATTAGATTCCATTTGTCAATTTTGGCTTTGGTTGCCATTGCTTCTGGTGTTTTAGACATGAAGTCCTTACCCATGCCTATGTCCTGAATGGTAAAGCCTAGGTTTTCTTCTAGGGTTTTTATGGTTTTAGGTCTAACATTTAAGTCTTTAATCCATCTTGAATTAATTTTTGTATAAGGTGTAAGGAAGGGATCCAGTTTCAGCTTTCTACATATGGCTAGCCAGTTTTCCCAGCACCATTTATTAGATAGGGAATCCTTTTCCCATTGTTTGTTTTTCTCAGGTTTGTCAAAGATGAGATAGTTGTAGATATGTGGCGTATTTCTGAGGGCTCTGTTCTGCTCCATTGATCTATATCTCTGTTTTGGTACCATGCTGTTTTGGTTACTGTAGCCTTGTAGTATAGTTTGAAGTCAGGTAGTGTGACGCCTCCAGCTTTGTTCTTTTGGCTTAGGATAGACTTGGTGATGCGGGTTCTTTTTTGGTTCCATATGAACTTTGAAGTAGTTTTTTCCAATTCTGTGAAGAAAGTCATTGGTAGCTTGATGGGGATGGCATTGAATCTGTAAATTACCTTTGGCATTATGGCCATTTTCACGATATTGATTCTTCCTACCCATGAGCATGGAATGTTCTTCCATTTGTTTGTATCCTCTTTTACTTCCTTGAGCAGTTGTTTGTAGTTCTCCTTGAAGAGGTCCTTCACATCCCTTGTAAGTTGGATTCCTAGGTATTTTATTCTCTTTGAAGCAATTGTGAATGGGAGTTCACTCATCATTTGGCTCTCTCTTTGTCTGTTGTTGCTGTATGAGAATGCTTGTGATTTTTGTACATTGATTTTGTATTCTGAGACTTTGCTGAAGTTGCTTATCAGCTTATGGAGATTTTGGGCTGAGACAATGGGGTTTTCTAGATTTACAATCATGTCATCTGCAAACAGGGACAATTTGACTTCCTCTTTTCCTAATTGAATACCCTTTATTTCCTTCTTCTGCCTCATTGCCCTGGCCCAGAACTTCCAACACTATGTTGAATAGCAGTGGTGAGAGAGGGCATCCCTGACTTGTGCCCATTTTCAAAGGGAATGCTTCCAGTTTTTGTCCATTCAGTACGATATTGGCTGTGGGTTTGTTATAGATAGCTCTTATTATTTTGAGATACGTCCCATCAATACCTAATTTATTGAGACTTTTTAGCATGAATGGTTGTTGAATTTTGTCAAAGGCCTTTTCTGCATCTATTCAGATAATCATGTGGTTTTTGTCTTTGGTTCTGTTTATATGCTGGATTACATTTTCTGATTTGCGTATATTGAACAAGCCTTGCATCCCAGGGATGAATCCCACTTGATCATGGTGGATTAGCTTTTTGATGTGCTGCTGGATTCGGTTTCACAGTATTTTATAGAGGATTTTTGCATCAATATTCATCAAGGATATTGGTCTAAAATTCTCTTTTTTGGTTGTGTCTCTGCCTGGCTTTGGTATCAGAATGATGCTGGCCCCATAAAATGAGTTAGGAAGGATTCACTCTTTTTCTATTGACTGGAATAGTTTCAGAAAGAATAGTACCAGTTCCTCCTTGTACCTCTGGTAGAATTCTGCTGTGAATCCATCTGGTCATGGACTCTTTTTGGTTGGTAAGCTATTGATTATTGCCACAATTTCAGATCTTGTTATTGTTCTATTCAGAGATTCAACTTCTTCCTGGTTTAGTCTTGGGAGAGTGTATGTGTCGAGGAATTTATCCATTTCTTCTAGATTTTCTAGTTTATTTGCGTAGAGGTGTTTGTGGTATTCTCTGATGGTAGTTTGTATTTCTGTGGGATCGGTGGTGATATCCCCTTTATCATTTTTTATTGCGTCTATTTGATTCTTCTCTCTTTTTTTCTTTATTAGTCTTGCTAGTGGTCTATCAGTTTTGTTGATCCTTTCAAAAAACCAGCTCCTGGATTCATTAATTTTTTGAAGGGTTTTTTGTGTCTCTATTTCCTTCAGTTCTGCTCTGATTTTAGTTATTTCTTGCCTTCTTCTAGATTTTGAATGTGTTTGCTCTTGCTTTTCTAGTTCTTTTAATTGTTTATGTTAGGGTGTCAATTTTGGATCTTTCCTGCTTTCTCTTGTGGGCATTTAGTGCTATAAATTTCCCTCTACACACGGCTTTGAATGTGTCCCAGAGATTCTGATATGTTGTGTCTTTGTTCTCGTTGGTTTCAAAGAACATCTTTATTTCTGCCTTCATTTCTTTATGTATCCAGTAGTCATTCAGGAGCAGGTTGTTCAGTTTCCATGTAGTTGAGTGGTTTTGAGAGAGATTCTTAATCCTGAATTCTAGCTTGATTGCACTGTGGTCTGAGAGATAGTTTGTTATAATTTCTGTACTTCTACATTTGCTGAAGAAAGCTTTACTTCCAACTATGTGGTAAATTTTGGAATAGGTGTGGTGTGGTGCTGAAGAAAATGTGTATTCTGTTGATTTGGGGTGGGTAGTTCTGTAGATGTATATTAGGTCCACTTGGTGCAGAGCTGAGTTCAATTCCTGGGTATCCTTGTTGACTTTCTGTCTCATTGATCTATGTAATGTTGACAGTGGGGTGTTAAAGTCTCCCATTATTAATGTGTGGGAGTCTAGATATCTTTGTAGGTCACTCAGGACTTGCTTTATGAATCTGGGTGCTCCTGTATTGGGTGCATATATATTTAGGATAGTTAGCTCTTCTTGTTGAATTGATCCCTTTACCATTAGTAATGGCCTTCTTTGTCTCTTTTGATCTTTGTTGGTTTAAAGAAGTCTGTTTTATCAGAGACTAGGATTGCAAGCCCTGCCTCTTTTTGTTTTCCTTTTGCTTCGTAGATCTTCCTCCATCCTTTTATTTTGAGCCTATGTGTGTCTGTACATGTGAGATGAGTTTCCTGAATACAGCACACTGATGGGTCTTGACTCTTTATCCATTTTGCCAGTCTATGTCTTTTAATTGGAGCATTTAGTCCATTTACATTTAATGTTAATATTGGTATGTGTGAATTTGATCCTGTCATTATGATGTTAGCTGGTTATTTTGCTCGTTAGTTGATGCAGTTTCTTCCTAGTCTCGATGGTCTTTACATTTTGGCATGATTTTGCAGTGGCTGGTACCGGTTGTTCCTTTCCATGTTTAGCACTTCCTTCAGGAACTCTTTTAGGGCAGGCCTGGTGGTGACAAAATCTCTCAGCATTTGCTTGTCTGTAAAGTATTTTATTTCTCCTTCACTTATGAAGCTTAGTTTGGCTGAATATTAAATTCTCGGTTGGAAATTCTTTTCTTTAAGAATGTTGAATATTGGCCCCCACTCTCTTCTGGCTTGTAGAGTTTCTGCTGAGAGATCCACTGTTAGTCTGATGGGCTTCCCTTTGAGAGTAACCCGACCTTTCTCTCTGGCTGCCCTTAACATTTTTTCCTTCATTTCATCTTTGGTGAATCTGACAATTATGTGTCTTGGAGTTGCTCTTCTCGAGGAGTATCTTTGTGGCATTCTCTGTATTTCCTGAATCTGAATGTTGGCTTGCCTTGCTAGATTGGGGAAGTTCTCCTGGGTAATATCCTGCAGAGAGTTTTCCAACTTGGTTCCATTCTCCCCATCACTTTCAGGTACACCAATCAGACGTAGATTTGGTCTTTTCACATAGTCCCATATTTCTTGGAGGCTTTGCTCGTTTCTTTGTATGCTTTTTTCTCTGAACTTGCCTTCTCGCTTCATTTCATTCATTTCACCTTCCATCGCTGATACCCTTTCTTCCAGTTCATCGCATTGGCTCCTGAGGCTTCTGCATTGTTCATGTAGTTCTCGAGCCTTGGTTTTCAGCTCCATCAGCTCCTTTAAGCACTTCTCTGTATTGCTTATTCTAGTTATACATTCTTCTAATTTTTTTTCAAAGTTTTCAACTTCTTTGCCTTTGGTTTGAATGTCCTCCCATAGCATGGAGTAATTTGATCGTCTGAAGCCTTCTTCTCTCAGCTCGTCAAAATCATTCTCCATCCAGCCTTGTTCCGTTGCTGGTGAGGAACTGCGTTCCTTTGGAGGAGGTGAGGCACTCTGCTTTTTACAGTTTCCAGTTTTTCTGCCCTGTCTTTTCCCCATCTTTGTGGCTTTATATACTTTGGGTCTTTGATGTTGGTGATGTTCAGATGGGTTTTTGGTGTGGATGTCCTTTCTGTTTGTTAGTTTTCCTTCTAACAGACGGGATCCTCAGCTGCAGGTCTGTTGGAGTACGCGGCCATGTGAGGTGTTGGTCTGTCCCTGCTGGGGGGTGCCTCCCAGTTTGGCTGCTCGGGGGCCAGGGGTCAGGGACCCAATTGAGGAGGCAGTCTGCCCGTTCTCAGATCTCCAGCTGCATGCTGGGAGAACAACTGCTCTCTTCAAATCTGTCAGAGAAGAGCATTTAAGTCTGCAGAGGCTACTGCTGTCTTTTTGTTTGTCTGTGCCCTGCCCTCAGAGGTGGAGCCTACAGAGGCTGGCAGGCCTCCTTGAGCTGTGGTGGGCTCCACCCAGTTCGAGATTCCCAGCTGCTTTTTTTACCTAAACAAACCTGGGCAATGGCAGGCGCCCCTGTCCCCGCCTTGCTGATGCCTTGCAGTTTGATCTCAGACTGCTGTGCTAGCAATCAGTGAGACTCCATGGGCGTAGGACCCTCCGAGCCAGGTGCAGGATATAATCTCCTGGTGCACCGTTTTTTAAGCCCATCAGAAATGTACAGTATTCGGGCAGGAGTGACCCGATTTTCCAGGTGCCATCTGTCATGCCTTTCTTTGACTAGGAAAGGGAACTCCCTGACTCCTTGCATTTCCCGAGCGAGGCAATGCCTCACCCTGCTTCGTGTCACGCACAGTGCATGCACCAACTGACCTGCTCCCACTGTCTGGCACTCCCTAGTGAGATGAACCCAGTACCTCAGATGGAAATGCTGAAATCACCCATCTTCTGCATCGCTCACGCTGGGAGCTGTACACCAGAGCTCTTCCTATTCGGCCTTCTTGGATCCTCCAGATATTTCCTTTTCTACTGTAGGCCTCAAAGTGCTCCAAATGTCCAATTGCAGATACTTCAAAAAGAGTGGTTCAAAACTGCTCTATCAAAAGGAAGGTTCAACTCTGTGAGTTGAATGCACACATTGCAGAGTAGTATCTGAGAATACTTCTGTCTAGTTTCTATGTGAAGATATTACCTTTTCTACCACATGCTTCAGAGCCCTCCAAATGTCCACTTGCACATCCTACAAAAAGAGTGTTTCAATACTGCTTTATCAAAAGCAAGGTTCAACTCTGTGAGTTGAATGCACACATCACAAAGAAGTTTCTGAGAATGCTTCTGTCTAGTTATTTGAAGACATTCCCTTTTCCAATGAATTCCTCAAAGGGGTCCAAATATCTGTTTGCAGATTCTACAAAAAGAGTGTTTCAAAACTGCCCTATCAAAAGGAAGGCTCAACTCTGTGAGTTGAATGCACCCATCACAAGGAGTTTTCTGACAATGCTTCTGTCTAGTCTCTATGTGAAGATATTTCCTTTCCCAACACAGGCCTCAAAGCCCTCCAAATGTCCACTTGCAGATTCTACAAAAAGAGTGTTTCAAAACTATTTTATCAAAAGGAAGTTTCAACTCTCTGAGTTGAATGCACACATCATGAAGAAGTTTCTGAGAATGTTTCTGTCTAGTTTTCACTTGAAGATATTTCCTTTTCTATCATAGGCATCAAAGACCTTCAATTGTCCACTTGGAGATTCTACAAAAAGAGGGCGTAAAAACTGTTGTATCAAAAGAAATGTTCAACTCTGTGAGTTGAGAGCACACATAACAACGGTGTTTTTGAAAATGCTGCTGTCTAGTTTTTATGAGAGAATATACCAGTTTCCAAAGAAGGCCTCAAAGTGGTCCAATTATCCAGTTGCAGATTCTCCAAAAAGAGTGTTTAAAAACTGATGTGTCAAAAAAAGGGTTCACCTCTGTGAGTTGAATGTACACATCACAAAGTACTTTCTGAGAATTCTTCTATCCAGTTTTTATGTGAAGATATTTGTTTTCCACATTAGGCCTCAAAGTGCTGCAAATATCCACTTGCAGACTCTAAAAAAGGAATGTTTCAAAACTGCTCTATAAAAAGGAAGGCTCAACTCTGTGAGTTGAATGCACACATCACAAAGAAGTTTCTGAGAATGCTTCTTTCTAGTTTCTATGTGAAGATATTTCCGTTTCCACCACAGGCCTCAAAGCTGTCCAAATATCCACTTGCAGATGTTACAAAAAGAGTGTTTCAAAAATGCTCTATCAAAAAGAATGTTCAATTCTGTGAGTTGAATGCACAGATCACAAAGAAGTTTCTGATAATGCTTCTGTCTAGTTTTTATTTGAAGATATTCCAGTTTCCAACGAATGCCTCAAAACGGTCCAAATATGCACTTGCAGATTCTACAAAAAGAGTGTTTCAAAACTGCTCTATCAAAAGGAAGGTTCAACTCTCTGAGTTGAATGCACACATCACAAAGTAGTTTCTGAGAATGCTTCTGTCTAGTCTCTATGTGAAGATATTACCTTTTCAACCACAGGCCTCAAAGCACTCCAAATATGCACTTACAGATTCCACAAAAAGAGGGTTTGAAAACTGCTCTATCAAAAGTAATGTTCAACACTGTGAGTTGAATACACATCACAGAGAATATTCTGAAAATGCTTCTGTCTAGTTTTTATGTGAGAATATTCCTGTATCCATCAAAGGCCTCAAAGCGGTCCAACTTTCCACTTGCAGATTCTCCAAAAAGAGTGTTTCAAAACTGCACTATTAAAAAAAACGTTCACCTCTGTGAGTTGAATGCACACACCTCAAAGTAGTTTCTGAGAATGCTTCTGTCTAGTCTCTATGTGAAGATATTTCGTTTTCCACCATGGGCCTTAACGCCCTCCAAATATCTACTTGCAGATTGTACAAAAAGAGTGTTTCAAAACTGGGCTATCAAAAAGAAGGTTCAACTCTGTGTGTTGAATGTGCACATCACAAAGAAGTTTCTGAGAATGCTCCTGTCTAGTTTTTATTTGAAGATATTTCCTTTTCTACCATAGGCCTCAAAGCGTTCCAAATGTCCAACTGGAGGTTCTGCAAAAAGAGTGTTTCATACTTCTCTATCAACAGTAATGTTCAGCTCTGTGAGTTGAATGCACACATCACAAAGAATTTTCTGAAAATGCTTCTGTCTAGCTTTTATGTGAGAATACTCCCGTTTTCAACGAAGGCCTCAAAGCGATGAAAATGTCGAATGCAGATTCTGGAACAAGAGTGTTTCAAAACTGCTCTATCAAAAGAAGGTTTCACCTCCCTGAGTTGAATGTGCACATCACAAAGTAGTTTCTGAGAATGGTTCTGTCTACTTTTTATGTGAAGATGTATGCTTTTCTACCATAGTCCTCAAAACACTCGAAATATCGACTTGCAGATTCTACAAAAAGAGTGTTTCAAAAGTGCTCTATGGAAAGTAGGGTTCAACTCTGTGAGTTGAATGCACACAACACAAAGAAGTTTCTGAGGATGCTTCTGTCTAATTATTTGAAGACATTCCCTTTTCCAACGAAGGCCTGAAATCGGTCCAAATATCCACTTGCAGATTCTACAAAAAGAGTGTTTCAAAACTGTTCTATCAAAAGGAAGGTTCAACAATGTGAGTTGAATGCACACATCACAAAGAAGTTTCTGAGAATGCTTCTGTCTAGTCATTTGAAGACATTCCCGTTTCCAACGAAGGCCTGCATTCGGTCCAAATATCCACTTGCAGATTCTACAAAAAGAGTGTTTCAAAACTGTTCGATCAAAAGGAAGGTTCAACAATGTGAGTTGAATGCACACATCACAAAGAAGTTTCTGAGAATGCTTCTGTCTAGTCATTTGAAGACATTCCCATTTCCAAAGAAGGCCTCAAAGCTGTCCAAATATCCACTTGCAGATTCTACAAAAGGAGTGTTTCAAAACTTCTCTCTCAAAAGGAAGGTTCAACTATGAGAGTTGAATGCACACATCACAAAGTGGTTTCTGAGAATGCTTCTGTCTATTCTCTATGGGAAGATATTTCCTTTTCCACCACAGGATTTAAAATGGTCCAAAAGTCCACTTGCAGATTCTGCAAAAAGAGTGTTTCAAAATGTTCTATCAAAAGGAAATTTCAAATCTGTGAGTTGAATGCACACATCACAAAGAAGTTTCTGAGAATGCTTCTGTCCAGTTTTTATTTGAAGATATACCCATTTCCAATGAAGGCCTCAAAGCAGTCCTAATATCCACTTGCAGATTCTACAAAAAGAGTGTTTCAAAACTGCTCTATGAAAAAAAGCTTTCACCTCTATGAGTTCAATGCACACAACACAAAGTAGTTTCTGAGAATGCTTCTGTGTAGTTTTATATGAAGATATTTTCTTTTCTAAATAGGCTGCAAAGCGCTCCAACTATCCAGTTGCAGTATCTACAAAAAGTGTTTCAAAACTGCTCTATCAAAAGAAAGGTTCACCTCTGTGAGTTGAATGCACACTTCACAAAGTGCTATCTGAGAATGCATTTCTCGAGTTTTTATATGAGTATATTCGCTTTTCTTACCATAGGCCTCAAAGCGCTGGAAATATCCACTTGCAGATTCTACAAAAAGAGTGTTTCAAAACTGCCCTTTCAAAAGGAAGGTTCAACTCTATGAGTTGAATGCACACATCAAAAAGAAGTTTCTGAGAGTCATTCTGTCTAGTTTCTATGTTATGATATTTCCTTTTCCACCACAGGACTTAAAGCACTCCAAATGTCCACTTGCAGATTCTACAAAAAGAGTGTTACAAAACTGCTCTATCAAAAGAAAGGTTCGACCCTGTGAGTTGAATGCACACATCAAAAAGAAGTTTCTGAGAATGCTTCTGTCTAGTTTTTATATGAAGTTATTTGCTTTTCTACCGTAGGCCTCAAACCTGCCAAATATTCATTTGCAGATTCCACAAAAAGAGTGTTTCATACATGCTCTACCAAAAGGAAGGTTCAAATCTGTGAGTTGAATGCACAGATCACAAGGAAGTTTCTGAGAATACTTCTGTCTACTTTTTATTTGAAGATATTCCCGTTTCCAACGAAGGCCTCAAAGCAGTCCAAATATCCACTTGCAGATTCTATAAAAAGTGTGTTACAAAACTGCTCTATCAAAAGGAAGGTTCAACTCTGTGAGTTGAAGGCACAGATCACAAAGGAGTTTCTGAGAATGCTTCTCTCTAGGTTTTATTTGAAGATATTCCCTTTTCCAACGAAAGCCTTAAAACGGTCCAAATATCCACTTGCAGATTGTACAAAAAGAGAGTTTCAAAACTTCTCTATCAAAAGGAAGGTTCAACTCTGTGAGTTGAATGCACAAATCACAAGGTAGTTTCTGAGAATGCTTCTATCTAGTCGCTATGTGAAGATATTTCCTTTTCCACCACAGGCCACAAAACCCTCCAATTGTCCACTTGCAGATTCTAAAAAAGAGTGTTTCAAAACTGTTCTATCAAAAGGAAAGTTCATACCTGTGAGTTGAATGCAGACATCACAAAGAAGTTTCTGAGAATGCTTCTGTCTAGTTTTTATTCAAAGATACTACCGTTTCCAACAAAGGCCTCAAAGCAGTCCAAATATCCACTTGCAGATTCTACAAAAAGAGTGTTTCAAAACTTCTTTATCACAAAGAAGATTCAACTCTGTCAGCTGAATGCACACATCACAAAGAAGTTTCGGAGAATGCTTTTGTGTAGTTTTCATATGAAGATATTTCCCTCTCTAGCATTGGCCTCAAAGCTCTCCAAATGTGAAGAGGCAGATTCTTCAAAAATATTGTTTCAGAACGCTCTATCAAAAGGAAGGTTTACTCTTGAGTTGAATGCGCACATCACAAAGAAGTTTCTAAAAATGCTTCTGTCTAGTTTTTAAGTGAGGATATTCCTGTTACCACCACAAACCTCAAAGCCCTCCAAATGTCCACTTGCAGATTCCACAAAAAGAAGAGTGTTTCCAAACGGCTCTGTCAAAAGGAAGTTTCAACTCTGTTAGTTGAATGCACACATCACAAAGAAGTTTCTGAGAATGCTTCTGTGTAGTGGTTTCAAGACATTTCCGTTTCCAACGAAGTCCTCAAAGCCGTCCAAATATCCACTTGCAGATTCTACAAAAAGAGTGTTTCAAAACTGCTCTATCAAAAGAAAGGTTCAACTCTGTGAGTTGAATGCACACCTCGCAAAGTAGTTTCTGAGAATGCTTCTGTGTAGTGGTTTGAAGACATTCCCGTTTCCAACAAAGGCCTCAAAGCGGTGCAAACATGCACTTGCAGATTCTACAAAGAGTGTTTCAAAACTGCTCTATCAAAAGAAAGGTTCGACCCTGTGAGTTCAATGCACACATCACAAAGAGGTTTCTGAGAATGGTTCTGTCTATTTTCTCTGTGAAGATATTTTCTTTTCCACCACAGGCCTCATAACCCTCCAAATATCCACTTGCAGGTTCTGCAAAAAGAGTGTTTCAAAATGTTCTATCAAAAGGAAATTTCAAATCTGTGAGTTGAATGCACACATCACAAAGAAGTTTCTGAGAATGCTTCTGTCCAGTTTCTATTTGAAGATATACCCATTTCCAATGAAGGCCTCAAAGTGGTCCTAATATCCACTTGCAGATTCTACAAAAAGAGTGTTTCAAAACTGCTCTATCAAAAAGAAGCTTCAACTCTGTGTGTTGAATGCACACATCACAAAGAAGTTTCTGAGAATGCTCCTGTCTAGTATTTATTTGAAGATATTTCCTTTTCTACCATAGGCCTCAAAGCGCTCCAACTATCCAGTTGCAGATTCTACAAGAAGTGTTTCAAAACTGCTCTATCAAAAGAAAGGTTCACCTCTGTGAGTTGAATGCACACTTCAAAAAGTGCTATCTGAGAATGCTTTTGTCTAGTTTTTATATGAATATATTTGCTCTTCTTACCACAGGCCTCAAAGCGCTGGAAATATCCATTTGCAGATTCTACAAAAAGAGTGTTTCAAAGCTGCTCTATCAAAAAGAAGGTTCAACTCTATGAGTTGAATGCACTCATCAAAAAGAAGTTGCTCAGACTCCTTCTGTCTAGTTTTTATGTGATGATATTTCCTTTTCCACCATAGGACTTAAAGCGCTCCAAATGTCCACTTGCAGATTCTACAAAAAGAGTGTTTCAAAACTGCTCTATCAAAAGAAAGGTTTGACTCTGTGAGTTGATTGCACACGTCAAAAAGTAGTTTCTGAGAATGCTTCTTTCTAGTTTTATATGAAGTTATTTGCTTCTCTACCCTAGGCCTCAAAGCTGCCAAATATCCAATTGCACATTCCACAAAAAGAGTGTTTCAAACATGCTCTATCAAAAGGAAGGTTCAATGCTGTGAGTTGAATGCACAGATCACAAAGAAGTTTCTGAGAATACTTCTGTCTACTTTTTATTTGAAGATATTCCCGTTTCCAACGAAGGCCTCAAAGCAGTCCAAATATCCACTTGCAGATTCTACAAAAAGAGTGTTTCAAAACTGTTCTATGAAAAGGTATTTTCAACTCTGTGAGTTGAATGCAAACATCACAAAGAGGTTTCTGAGAATGCTTCTGTCTAGTTTTCATATGAAGATACTTCCTTTTCTGCCATATGCCTCAAAGCGCTCCAAATGTCCACTTGCAGATTCTTCAAAAAGAGTGTTTCAAAACTACTCTATCAAAAGGAAGGTTCAACTCTGTGAGATTAATGCACACATCACAAAATAGTTTCTGAAAATGCTTCTGCCTAGTTTTTAAGTGAGGATATTCTCTTTTCCAACAAAGGCCTCAAAGAGGTCCAAAGATCACCTTGCATATTCTAAAAAAAAGAGTGTCAAAACAGCTCGATCAAAAGAAGGCTAACCACTGTGATTTGAATGCACACATCACAAAGAAGTTTCTGAGAATGTTTCTCTCTGGGTTTTATTTGAAGATACACCCGTTTCCAGTGAAGGCCTTAAAGTGGTTCAAATATCCGCTTGCGTATTTAACCACAAGAGTATTTCAAAATTGCTCTATCAAAGGAAAGGTTCATCTCTGCGAGTTGAATGCACACAAAACAAAGAAGTTTCTCAGAATGCTTCTGTCTAGTTTTTATTTGAAGATATTCCCGTTTCCAACAAAGGCCTCAAGGCGGTCCAAATACCCAATTGCTGATTCTACCAAAAGAGGGTGTCAAAACTGCACTATCAAAAGGAAGGTTCAACTTTGTGAGTTGAATGCACACATCACAAAAACTTTCAGAGAATGGTTCTGTCTAGTATCTATTTCAAGATTTTTCCTTTTCCACCACAGGCCTCAAAGCCCGCCAAATGTCCACTTGCAGTTTCTACAAAAAGAGCGTTTCAAAACTGCTCTATCAAAAGAACAGTTCGACTCTGTCAGTTGAATGCACACATCACAAAGGAGTTTCTGAGAATGCTTCTGTCTAGTTTTTTTATGAAGATATTTGCTTTTCTACCATAGGCCTCAAAGCGCTCCAAATATCCACTTGCATATTTTACAAAAAGAGTGTTTCAAAAGTGCCCTATCAGAAGGAATGTTCCACTCTGTAAGTAGAATGCACAAATCAAAAAGAAATTTCTGAGAATGCTTCTGTCTAGTTTTTAGGTGAAGATATTCTCGTTTCCACAGAAGGTCTCAAAGCTGCCAAATATCCACTTGCACATTCTAAGAAAGAGTGTCTCAAAACTGCTCTATCAAAACGAAGGTTCAACTCTGTGAGTTGAATGCACACATCACAAAGAAGTTTCTGAGAATGCTTCTGTCTAGTTTTTATGTGAAGATATTCCCATCTCCAACGAAGGCCTCAAAGCACTCCAAATATCCAGTTGCTAATTCTACAAAAACAGTGTTTCAAAACTGCTCTATCAAAAGAAAGGTTCAAATCTATGTGTTGAATGCACACATCACAAAGGGGTTTCTGAGAAGTCTTCTGTCTACTCTGTATGTGAAGATATTCCCTTTTCCACCACAGGCCTCAAAGCCATCCAAATGCCCATTTGCAGATTCTACAAAAAGAGTGTTTCAAAACTGCTCTATCAAAAAGAAGGTTCAACTCTGTGAGTTGTATGCACACAACACAAAGAAGTTTCTGAGAATACTTCTGCCTAGTTTTTATTTGAAGATACTCCCTTTTCCAATGAAGGCCTCAAAGCAGTCCAAATACTCACTTGCCGGTTCTCCAAAAACAGTGTTTCAAACTGCTCTATCAAAAGGAAGGTTCAACTTGGTGAGTTGAATGCACACATCACAAAGAAGGCTCTGAGAATGCTTCTGTCTACTTTCCAGGAGAAAATATTTCCTTTTCCCCCACAGTTCTCAAATCCCTCTAAATGTCCACTTGCACATTCTTTAAAAAGAGTGTTTCAATACTGCTCTATTAAAAGTAGTGTTCAAGTTTGTGAGTTGACTGCACACATCACAAAGAAGTTTCTGAGAATGCTTCTGTCTAGTTATTTGAAGACATTCTCATTTCCAACGAAGGCCTCAAAGCGGTCCAAATATCCACTTGCAGATTTTACAAAGAATGTTCCAAAACTGCTCTATCAAAAGTAAGGTTCAACTCTGTGAGTTGAATGCACACATCAAAAAGAGGTTTCCGAGAATGCTTCAGTCTATTCTCTAGGTGAAGATATTTCCTTTTCTACCACAGGCCTTAAAGCAGTCCAAATGAACACTTGCAGAAAATACAAAAAGAGTGTTTCAAAACTGCTCTATCAAAGAAAGGTTCAACTCTGTATGTTGAATGCACACATCACAAAGAGGCTTCTGAGAATGCTTCTATCTAGTCTCTATGTGAAGATATTTCCTTTTCCACCACACACCTCAAAGCCCTCAAAATGTCCACTTGCCGATTCTACAAAAAGAGTGTTTCAAAACTGCTCTATGAAAAGGAAGGTTCAACTCTGTGAGTTGAATGCACACATCACAAAGAAGTTTCTGAGAATGCTTCTGTCTAGTTTTCATTTGAAGATATTTCCTTTTCCACCATAGGCCTCAAAGCTCTCCAAATGTTCACTGGCATATTCTACAAAAAGAGTGTTTCAAAACTGCTCTATCAAAAGTAATGTTCAAAACTCTGAGTTGAATGCACACATCATTAAGAAGTTTCTGAAAATACATCTGTCCAGTTTTTATGTGGGAATATTCCCTTTTCCAACGAAGGACTCAAAGCGGTCCAAATATCCACTTGCAGATACTCCAAAAAGAGTGTTTCAAAACTGCTGTATCAAAACAAAAGTTGACCCCTGTGAGCCGAACGCAAACATCACAAAGTACTTTCTGAGAATGCTTCTTTTAGTTTTTATGTGAAAATATTTCCTTTTCAACAATAGGCCTCAAAGTGCTCCTAAAATCCTCTTGCAGATTCTACAAAAAGAGTGTTTCTAAACTGCTCTATCAAAAGGAAGGTTCACCTCTGTGAGTTGAGTACAGACATCACAAAGAAGTTTCTGAGAATGCTTCTGTCTAGTTTCTATGGAAGATATTTCCTTTTCCAACACAGGACTTAAATCGGTCCAAATGTCCACTTGCAGATTCTGCAAAAAGAGTGTTTCAAAACTTCCCTATCAAAAGAAATGTTCGTCTCTGTGAGTTGAATGCACACATCACAAAGTAATTTCTGAGAATGCTTCTGTCTGGTTTTCATTTGAAGATCTTTCCTTTTCTACGGTAGGATTCTAAGCACTCTAAATGTCCAATTGGAGATTCAACAAAAACAGGCTTTCAACACTATTCTATCAAAAGTAATGTTCAACTCGTGGAGGTGAATGCACCCATCACAAAGGAGTTTCTAAAAATGCTTCTGTCTAGTTTTTATGTGAGAATAATCCCGTTTCCAACGAAGGACTCAAAGTGGTCCAAATATCCACTTGCAGATTCTCCAAATAGAGTGTTTCAAAACTGCTCTATCAAAAGAAAGGTTCACCTCTCTGAGTTGAATGCACACATCGCAAAGAAGTTTCTGTGAATGCTTCTGCCTTGTTTTATATGAAGATACTTTCTTTTCTACCACAGGCCTCAAAGCGCTCCAAGTATCAACTTGCAGATTCCCAAAAGAGTGTTTTGAAACTGCGCTATCAAAAGGAGGGTTCAACTCTGTGGGTTGAATGCACACAACACAAAGATGATTCTGAGAATACTTCTGTCTAGTTTTAACGTGAAGATATTTCCTTTTCTACCATAGGCCTCAAAGCACTCCAAATGTCCACTTGCAGATACTTCAAAAAGACTGTTTCAAAACTGCTCTATCGAAAGGAAGGCTCAACTCTGTGGTTGAATGCACACATCCCAAAGAAGTTTCTTAAAATTCTCCGGCCTTGTTTTTAAGTGAGGATATTCCCGTTTCCACCGCAGGCCTCAAAGCCCTCCAAATGTCCACTTGCAGATTTACAAAAAGAGTGTTTCAAAACTGCTCTATCAAAGGGAAGTTTCAACTTTGTGAGTTGAATGCACAGATCAGAAAGGAGTTTCTGAGAATGCTTCTGTCTAGTTTTTATTTGAAGATATTCCCATTTCCAATGAAGGCCTCAAAGCAGTCAAAATATCCACTTGCAGATTCTACAAAAGGAGTATTTCTAAACTTCTCTATCAAAAAGAAGGTTCAACTCTGTGAGTTGAATGCACACATCACAAAGAAGGTTCTGAGAATGCTTTTGTCTAGTTTTCATATGAAGATATTTCCTTTACTACTGTAGGCCTCAAAGCGTTCCAAATGTCCACTTGCAGACTCTTCAAAAAGAGTGTTTCAAAACTGATCTACAAAAGGAAGGTTCAGCTCTCTGAGTTGAATGCAACGTTACAAAGAAGTTTCTGAAAATGCTTCTATCTAGTTCTTAAGTGAGGATATTCCCGTTTCCAAAGAAGGCCTCAAAGCGTTCCAGGTATCCCCTTGCAGATTCTACAAAAAGAGTGTTTCAAAACTGCTCTATCAAAATAAAGGTTCAGCTCTGAGAGTTGAATGCACACATAAAAAAGAAGTTTCTGAGAATGCTCTGTCTCCTCTCTATGTGAAGGTATTTCCTTTTCCACCACAGGCCTCAAATCCACACAAATGTTCACGTGCAGATTCTACAAAAAGAGTGTTTCTAAACTGCTCTTTCAAAAGGAAGGTTCAACTCGGTCACTTGAATGCACACATCGCAAAGAAGTTTCTGAGAATGCTTCTGTCTAGTTTTTATTTGAAGATATTTCTTTTTCTACCATCGGCCTCAAAGTGCTCCAAATGGCCACTTGGAGATTCTACAAAAAGAGTGTTTCAAAACTGCTCTATCAAAAGTAATATTCAACTCTGTGAATTGAATGAACACATCAGAAAGAAGTTTCTGAGAATGCTTCTTTCTAGTTTTTATGTGAGAATATTCCCGTTTCCAATGAAGGCGTCAAAGCAGTCCAAATAACCACTTGCAGATCCTCCAAAAAGAGAGTTTCAAAACTGCTCTATGAAAAGAAAGGTCCACCTCTGTGAGTTGAATGAACACATCATGAAGTACTTTCTGAGAATGCTTCTGTCTAGTTTTTATATGAAGATATTTGCTTTTCTACCATAGGCCTCAAAGCTGCAAAATATACATTTGCAGATTCTACAAAAAGTGTTTCAAACATGCTCTATCAAAAGGAAGTTTCAAATCTGTGAGTTGATTGCACAGATCACAAAGAAGCTTCTGAGAATGCTTCTCTCTACTTTTTATTTGAAGATATTCCTGTTTCCAACGAAGGCCTTAAAGGAGTCAAAATATCCACTTGAAAATTATACAAAAGAGTGTTTCAAAACTTCTCTATCAAAAAGAAGGTTCAACTATGTGAGATGAATGCACACATCACAAAGGTGTTTCTCAAAATGCTTCTGACTAGTTTTTAAGTGAGGATATTCCCGTTTCCAACTCAGACCTCAAAACCCTACAAATGTCCATTTGCAGATTCTACAAAAAGAGTGTTTCAAAACTGCTGTATCAAAAGGAATGTTCAACTCTGTGAGTTGAATGCACAGATCACAAAGAAGTTTCTGAGAATGCTTCTGTCTATTTTTATACGAAGGTATTTGCTTTTCTACCATAAGCTTCAAACCGCTCCATATATCCACTTGCAGATTCTGCAAAAAGTGTGTTTGAAAACTGCTCTATCAAAAGGAAGGTTCAACTCTCTGAGTTGAATGCACACATCACAAAGAGGTTTCTGAGAATACTTCTGTCTGTTTTCTATGTGAAGATATTTCCTTTTCTATTATATGCCTCAAAGTGTTCCAAATATCCACTTGCAGATTCTTCAAAAAGAGTGTTTCAAAACTGCTCTATCAAAAGGAAGTTTCAACTCTGTAAGTTGAATGCACACAACACAAAGAAGTTTCTGAAAATGCTTCAGTCTAGTTTTTAAGTGAGGATATTCCCGTTTGCACCACAGGTCTCAAAGCCCTCCAAATGTCCCTTTGCAGACACTACTAAAATAGTGTTTCAAAACTACCCTTTCCAAAGTAATATTCACCCCTGTGAGTTGAATACACATATCACAAAGTACTTCCTGAGAATGCTTCTGTCTAGTTTTCATTTGAAGATATTCCCGTTTCCAACACAGACCTCAAAGCGGCCAAAAATATACACTTGCAGATTATACAGAAAGAGTGTTTCAAAACTGCTCTATCGAAAGGAATGTTCATTTCAGTGAATTGAATGCACACATCAGAAAGAAGTTTCTGAGAATGCTACTGTCTAGTTGTTATATGAAGATATTTGCTTTTCTACCATAGACCTCAAAGCACTCCAAATATCCACTTGCAAATTCTGCAAAAAGAGGGTTTCAAAAGTGCTCTATCAAAAGGAATGTTCAATTTTTGAGTTGAATGCGCACATCACTAAGAAATTTCCGAGAATGCTTCTGTCTAGTTTTCAGGTGAAGATATTCCCGTTTCCACAGAAGGACTCAAAGCTGCCAAATATGCACTTGCAGATTCTACACAAAGAGTGTTTCAAAACCGCTCCATTAAAAGGAAGGTTCAATGCTGTGAGTTGAATGCACACATGACAAAGAAGTTTCTGAGAATGCTTCTGTCTAGTTTCTATGTGAAGATATTTCCTTTTCCACCACAGGCCTCAAAGCCCTCCAAATGTCCACTTGCAGATTCTTCAAAGCAGTGGTTCAGAACTGCTCTATCAAAAAGAAGATTCAACTCTGTGTGTTGAATGCACACATCACCAAGAAATTTCTCAGAACGCTTCTGTCTAGTTTTTAGGTGAAGATATTCCCTTTTCCACAGAAGGCCTCAGAGCTGCCAAATATCCACTTGCAGATTCTACAAAAACAGTGTTCCAAACTTCTCTATCAAAAAGAAGGTTCAACTCTGTGAGTTGAATGCACTTAACACAAAGTAGTTTCTGAGAATGCTTCTGTCTAGCTTTATAAAGATACTTTTTCTACCATATGCCTCAGAGAGCTCCAAATATCCACTTGCAGATTCTACAAAAGGAGTTTTAAAACTGCCCTATCAAAAGGAAGGTTCAACTCTGAGAGTTGAATGCACACATCACAAAGAGGTTTCTGAAAATGCTTCTGTCTAGTTTTTAAGTGAGGATATTCCCGTTTTTAACAAAGACCTCAAAGCGGTCCAAATATCCCCCTGCAGGTTCTGGAAAAAGAGTGTCTCAAAACAAAGGTTCACCTCTGTGAGTTGAACGCACACATCACAAGGAAGTTTCTGAGAATGTTTCTGTCTAGTTTTTATTGGAAGATATTCCCGTTTCCAAAGAAGGCCTCAAAGCGGTCCACATATCCACTTGCAGCATCGAGAAAAAGAGTGTTTCAAAACTGCTCTATCAAAAGAAAAGTTCACCTCTGTGAGTTGAATGCGCACATGAAAAAGAAGTTTCTGAGAATACTTCTATCTAGTTTCCCTGTGAAGATATTTCCTTTTCCACGACAGGCCTCAAAGCCCTCCAAATGAACATTTGCACATTCAACAAAAAGAGTGTTTCAATACTGCTCTATCAAAAGGAAAGTTCAACTCTGTGAGTTGAATGCACACATCACAAAGATGTTTCTAAAAATGCTTCTGACTAGTTTTTATATGAGGATATTCTCGTTTCCAACTCAGACCTCAAAACCCTACAAATGTCCACTTGCAGATTATACAAAAAGAGTATTTCAAAACTTCCCTATCAAAAGGATGGTTCAACTCTGTGAGTTGAATGCACACATCACAAATAAGTTTCTGAGAATGCTTTGGTCTAGTTATTTGAATATATTAACTTTTCCAAAGAAGGCTTCAAAACGCTCCAAATATCCACTTGCAGATTCTACAAAAAGCGGACTTCAAAAGTGTTCTATCAAAAGGAATCTTCAACTCTGTGAGTTGAATGCACACATCACAAAGATACTTCTGAGAATGTTTCAGTCTAGTTTTAATTTGAAGATACTCCCGTTTCCACAGAAGGCCCCAAGGCCGCCAAATATTCAATTGCAGATTCTACAAAAAGAGTGATTCAAAACTGCTCTATCAAAAGGAAGGTTCAACTCTGTGACTTGAATGCACAGATCACAAAGAAGTTTCTTAGAATGCTTCTGTCTAATTTGTATTTGAGGACATTCTGGATTCCAACGAAGGCCTCAAAGCGTTCCAAATATCCACTTGCAGATTGTACAAAAAGAGTCTTTCAAAACTGCTCTATCAAAAGGAAGCTTCAACTCTGTGAACTGAATGCATACATCACAAAGAGGTTTCTGAGAATGCTTCTGTCTAGTCTTTATGTGAAGATATTTCCTTTTCCAACACAGGCCTCAAAGCCCTCCAAATATCCAATTGCAGATTCTATAAAAAGAGTGTTTCAAAACTGCTCTATCAAAAGGAACGTTCAACTCTGTGAGTTGAAAGCACTCATCACAAAGAAGTTTCTGTGAATGCTTCTGTCTAATTTTTATTTGAATGTATTTGCGTTTCTACCATAGACCTCAAAGCGCTCCAAATGTCCACTTGCGGATTCTACAAAAAGAGTGTTTCAAAACTGCCCTATCAAAAGTAATGTTCAACTCTGTGAGTTGAATGTACACATCACAAAGAAGTTTCTGAAAATCCTTCTGTCTAGCTTTTATGTTAGAATATTCCCATTTCCAAAGGAGGCTTCAAAGCGGTCAAAATATGCACTTGCAGATCCTCCAAAAAGAGTGTTTCAAAACTGCTCTATCAAAAGAAAGGTTCACCTCTGTGAGTTGAATGCAAACATCACAAATTACTTTCTGAGAACGGTCCTGTCTAGATTTATGTGAAGATATTTGTTTTTCTACCAATAACCTCAAAGCGCTCCAAATATCCACTTGCAGATTCTACAAAAAGAGTGTTTCAAAACTGCTCTATCAAAAGGAATGTTCACCTCTGTGAATTGAATCCAAGCATGAAAGAGAAGTTTCTGAGAACGCTTCAGTCTAGTTTCTATGTGAAGGTATTTCGTTTTTCACCACAGGCCTTAAAGGGCTCCAAATGTCCACTTGCATATTTTACAAAAAGAGTGTTTCAAAACTGCCCTAACAAAAGAAAGTTCATCTCTATGAGCTGAATGCATACATCACAAAGTAGATTCTGAGAATGCTTCTGTCAAGTTTTTATGTGAAGATATTTGCTTTTCTACCATAGGCCTCAAAGCGTCCCAAATATCCACTTATAGATTGTACAAAAAGAGTCTTTCAAAACTGCTCTATCAAAAAGAAGTTTCAACTCTGTGAGTTGAATGCACACATTACAAAGAAATTTCTGAGAATGCTTCTGTCTAGTATTTGGATGAAGATATTCCCGTTTCCAACAAAGGGCAGAAATCTGTCGAAATATCCACTTGCAGTTTCCACAAAAAGAGTTTTTCCAAACTGCTCTCTCAAAAGGAATGTTCAACTCTGTGAGTTAAATGCACAGATAGCAAAGATGTTTCTGAGAATGCTTCTGTCTAGTTATTTGAAGACATTCCCATTTCCAATGAAGGCTGCAAAGCAGTCCAAATATCCACTTGCGGATTGTACAAGAGAGTGTTTCAAAACTGCTCTATGAAAACGAAGGTTCAACTCTGTGACTTGAATGCACACACCACAAAGAAGTTTCTGAGAATGCTTCTGCCTAGTTTCTATGGAAAGATATTTCCTTTTCCACCAGAGGCCTCAAAGCACTCCAAATGTCTACTTGCAGATTTTACAAAAAGAGTGTTTCAAAACTGCTCTATCAAAAGGAAATTTCAACTCTGTGAGTTGAATGCACACATCCCAAAGAGGATTCTGAGAATGCTTCTGTCTAGTTATTTGAAGACATTCCCTTTTCCAAAGAATTCCTCAAAGTTGTCCAAATATCTACTTACAGATTCTACAAAAAGAGTGTTTCAAAACTGCTCTATCAAACGGAAGCTTTAACTCTGTGAGTTGAATGCACACATCACAAGGAGGTTTCTGAGAATGCTTCTGTCTAGTCTCTACGTGAAGGTATATCTTTTTCCACCACAGGCCTAAAAGCCGTCAAAATATCCACATGCCGATTCTACAAAACAGAGTGTTTCGAAACTGCTCTATCAAAAGGAAGGATCAACTCTGTGTGTTGAATGCACACGTCACAAAGAGGTTTCTGAAAATACTTCTGTCCTATTTTTATGTGAGAATATTCCCGTTTCCAACAAGGGCCACAAAGCGATCCAAATATCCACTTGCAGATTTTCCAAAAGAGTGTTTCAAAACTGCTCTATCATAAGAAAGGTTAACCTCTGTGAGTTGAATGCACACATGACAAAGAAATTTGTCAGAATGCTTCTGTCTAGTTTTTATGTGAAGATATGCCCATTTTCAACAAAGGACTCAAAGCTGTCCATATATCCACCTTCAGATTCTACAAAAAGAGTGATTCAAAACTGCTCTATCAATAGAAAGATTCAACTCTGTGAGTTGAATGCACAGATCGCAGAGAAGATTCTGAGAATGCTTCTGTCTAGTTATGTGAAGATATTCCCGTTTCCAAAGAAGGCCTCAAAGCGGTTTAAATATTCACTTGCAGATTGTACAATAAGAAAGTTTCAAAACTGCTCTATCAAAAGGAAGGTTCAACTCTGTGAGTTGCATGCTCACATCACAAAGGAGTTGCTCAGAAGGCTTCTGTCTAGTTTTTAAGTGAGGATATTCCTGTTTTCACCACAGGCCTCAAAGCCCTCCAAATGTCCACATGCAGATTCTACAAAAAGGGTGTTTCAAAACTGCTGTATCAAATGGAAGGTTCAACTCTGTGAGTTCAATGCACACATAACAAACTGAGTTCTGAGAATTCTTCTTTCTAGTCTCTATGTGAAGATATTTCCTTTTACACAATAGGCCTTAATGCCGTCCAAATGTCCAATTGCAGATTCTACAAAAAGAGTGTTTCAAAAGTGATCTATCAAAAAAAGGCTGAACTCTGTGTGTTGAATGCAAACATCATAAAGAGGTTTCTGAGAATGCTTCTGTCTTGTCTCTATGTGAAGATATTTCCTTTTCCACCACAGGCCTCAAAGCCCTCCAAATGTTCACTTGCAGATTCTACAAAAAGAAAGTTTCAAAAATGCTCCA
Source organism: Homo sapiens (assembly GCF_000001405.40). Taxonomy (NCBI): domain Eukaryota; kingdom Metazoa; phylum Chordata; class Mammalia; order Primates; family Hominidae; genus Homo; species Homo sapiens. The sequence continues at coordinate 90,454,277 of NC_000003.12, forward strand.
ACAAAAGGAAGTTTCAAATCTGTTAGTTGAATTCACACATCACGATGAAGTCTCTGAGAATCCTTCTGTCTAGTTTTCATTTGAAGTTTTTTTCCTTTTCTACCATAATCCTCAAAGCCCTCCAAATGTCCACTTGGAGATTCTACAAAAAGATTGTTTCATAACTGCTCTGTCAAAAGTAATGTTCAACTCTGTGGGTTGAATGCACACATGACAAAGAAGTTTCTGAAAATGCTTCTGTCCAGTTTTTATGTGAGAATATTCCCGTTTCCAACGAAGGCCTCAAAGTGGCCCAAATATCCACTTGCAGATTCTCCAAAAAGAGTGTTTCAAAACTGCTTTCTCAAAAGAAAGGTTCACCTCTGTAAGTTGAATGCACACATCACAAAGTACTTTCTGAGAATGCTTCTTTACACTTTTTATGTGAAGATATTTGCTTTTCTACCACAGGCCTCAAAGCACTCCAAATATGCACTTACAAATTCTACAAAATAGTGTTTCAAAACAGCTCAATCAAAAGGAAGGCTCATCCCTGTGAGTTGAATGAAAACATCACAGAGAAGTTTCTGAGAATGCTTCTGTCTAGTTTCTATGTGGAGATATTTCCTATTCCACCCCAGGCCTTAAAGGGCTCCAAAAGGCCACTTGCAGATTCTACAAAAAGAGTGTTTCAAAACTGCTTGATCAAAAGAAAAGTTTGATTCTGTGAGTTGAATCCACACATCACAAAGATGTTTCTGAGAATGCTTCTGTCTAGTTTTTATTAGAAGATATTCCCGTCTCCAATGAAGGCCTCAAAGTGGTCTAAATATCCACTGGCAGATTCTACAAAAAGAGTGTTTCAAAACTTCTCTATCAAAAGAAGCGTTCAACTGTGTGAGTTGAATGCGCACATCACCAAGAAGTTTCTGAGAATGCTTCAATCTAGATATTTGAAGATATTCCCATTTCCAAGGAAGGCATCAAAGCCGTTCAAATACACACCTGCAGATTCTACAAAAAGAATGTTTAAAAAAACAGGTCTATCAAAAGGAAAGTTCAACACAGTGAGTTGAATGCACACATCACAAATTGGTTTTTGAGAACTGCTCTGTCTAGTTTCTGTGTGAAGATATTTTCTTTTCTAATCCAGGCCTCAAACTTCTCCAAATGTCCACTTACAGATCCTACAAAAAGAGTGTTTCAAAATTGTTCTATCAGAAGGAGTTTCAAATCTGATAGTTGAATGGACACATCACAAAGAAGTTTCTGAGAGTGCTTCTTTCTAGTTTTTATGTGAAGATATTTCCTTTTCCACCATAGGCCTCAAAGCTCTCCAGATGTCCACTTGCAGATTCTACAAAAAGAGTGATTGAAAACTGCTCTATCAACACAATGTTTCAAATCCGTGAGTTGAATGCACACATCACAAAGAAGTTTCTGAGAATTCTTCTGTCTAGTTTTTATGTGAAGATATTCCAGTTTCCAACGAAGGCCTCAAAGCAGTCCAAATATACACTTGCAGATTCTACGAAAGAGAGTTTCAAAATTGCTCTACGAAAAGGTATGTTCAACACTGTGAGTTGAATGCAAACATCACAAAGAAGTTTCTGAGAATGCTTCTGTCTTGTTTTTATGTGAAGATATTTCCTTTTCCACCATAGGCCTCAAACGTCTCAAAATGTCCACATGCAGATTCTCAAAAAGATAGTTTCATAACTGCTCTATGAAAAGTTACATTCTACTCTGTGAGTTGAATGCAAACATCACAAATAAGTTTCTGAGAATGCTTCTCTCTAGTTTTTATGTGAAGATATTCCCGTTTCCAACGATGGCGTCAAAGCAGTCCAAATATCCACTTGCAGATTCCACGAAAAGAGTGTTTCAAAACTGCTCTATGAAAAGGTACGTTGAACTGTGTGAGTTGAATGCAAACATCACAAAGAAATTTCTGAGAATGCTTCTGTCTAGTATTTATGTGAAAATATTTCTTTTCCACTGGAGGCCACAAAGCTCTGCAAATGTCCACCAGCATATTCTACAAAAAGTGTTTCAAAACTGCTCTATCAAAAGAAAGGTTCAAATTTGTGAATTGAATTCAAATGTCACAAACAAGTTTCTGAGAATGCTTCTGTCTAGTTTTTATGTGAAGATATTCCCATTTCCAACGAAGGCCTAAGAGCAGTCAAAATGTCCACTAGCAGATTCTAACAAAAGAGTGTTTCAAACTGCTCTATGAAAAGGAATCTTCAACTCCATGGGTTCAATGCAAACATCACAAAGAAGTTTCTGAGAATGCTTCTGTCTAGTTTTTATGTGAAGATATTTCCTTTTCCACCATAGGCCTCAAAGCTCTCCAAATGTCCACTTGCAGGTTCTACAAAAAGAGTGTTTGAAAACTTCTCTATCAAAACAATGGTTCAAAACTGTGAGTTGAATGCACACATCACAACGAAGTTTCTGAGAATGCTTTTTATAGTTATTGTTGAAGATATTCCCGTTTCCAAAGAAAGCCTCAAAGCAGTCCATATATCCAGTTGCAGATTTTACATGAAGAGTGTTTCAAAACTGCTCTATGAAAAATTACATTCTACTCTGTGAGTTGAATGCGAACATCACAAAGAAGTTTCTGAGAATGCGTCTGTCTAGTTTTCACATGAAGATATTTCCTTATACACTGCAGGCATCAAAGCTCTCCAAATGTCCATTTACACAATCTACAAAAAGAGTGTTTCAAAACCGCTCTGTCAAAAGAGAGGTTCAAATCGGTGAGTTGAGTGCACACATCATAAAGAAGTTTCTGAGAATGCTTCTGTCTAGTTTTTATGTGAAGATATTTCCTTTTCCACCATAGGTCTCAAAGCTCTCCAAATGTCCACTTGCAGGTTCTACAAAAAGAGTGTTTGAAAACTTCTCTATCAAAACAATGGTTCAAATCTGTGAGTTGAATGCACACAACACAACGAAGTTTCTGAGAATGCTTCTGTATAGTTATTTTTGAAGATATTCCCGTTTCCAAAGAAGGCCTCAAAGCAGTCCAAATACCCGGTTGCAGATTCTACGAAAAGAGTGTTTCAAAACTGCTCTATGAAAACGTACGTTCAACTCTGTGAGTTGAATACAAGCATCCCAAAGAAGTTTCTGAGAATGCTTCTGTCTAGTTTTTATGTGAAGATATTTCCTTTTCCAACATAGACCTCAAAGCTCTCCAAATGTCCACTTGCATATTGTACAAAAAGAGAGTTTCAAAACTGCTCTATCAAAAGAAAGGTTCTGCTCTGTGAGTTAAATCCACATATCTCAAGGAAGTTTCTGAGAATCCTTCTGTCTAGTTTTTATGTGAAGATATTCCAGTTTCCAACGAATGCCTCAAAAGAGTCCAAATATACACTTGCAGATTCTACGAAAAGAGTGTTTCAAAATTGCTCTATGAAGACGTATGTTCAACTCTGTGAGTTGAAGGCAAAAATGACAAAGAAATTTCTGAGAATGCTTCTGTCTAGTTATGTGAAGATATTTCTTTTTCCACAATAGGCCTCAAAGCTCTCCAAATGTCCACTTGCAGATTCTACAAAGAGAGCGTTTCAAAACCGCTCTATCAAAACAAAGGGTCAAATCTGTGAGCTGAATACACACATCAGAGAGAAGTTTCTGAGAATGCTTCTGCCTAGTTTTTATGTGAAGATATTTCCTTTTCCACCATAGGCCTCAAAGCTCTCCAAATGTCCACTTGCAGATTCTACAAAAAGAGTGTTTCAAAACTGCTCTATGAAAAGTATGTTCAACTTTGTGAGTTGAATGCACAGATCACAAAGAAGATTCTGAGAATGCTTCTCTCAAGGTTTTATTTGAAGATATTCCCGTTTCCAAAGAAGGCCTAAAAGCGCTTTAAATATCCACTTGCAGATTATACAAAAAGACTGTTTGAAAACTGCTCTATGAAAAGTTATGTTCAACACTGTGAGTTGAATGCACACATCACAACGGAATTTCTCAAAAGGCTTCCGTCTAGTTTTTAAGTGAGGATATTCCGGTTTTCACAACAGGCCTCAAAGCCCTCCTAATGTCCTCTTGCAGATTCAACAAAAAGAATGTTTCAAAACTGCTCTATCAAAAGGAAGGTTCAACTCTGTGAGTTGAATGCACACATCACAATCTGGATTCTGAGAATTCTTCTGTCTAGTCTCTATGTGAAGATATTTCCTTTTCCACAATAGGCCTTAATGCGGTCCAAATGTCCAATTGCAGATTCTAAAAAAAGAGGGTTCCAAACTCCTCTATGAAAAGAAAGGCTCAACTCTATGTGTTGAATGCACACATCACAAAGAGGTTTCTGAGATTGCTTCTGTCTAGTCTCTATGTGTAGATATTTCCTTTTCCACCACAGGCCTCAAAGCCCTCCAAATGTTCACTTGCAGATTCTACAAAAAGAATGTTTCAAAACTGCTCCATCAAAAGGAAGGTTCAACTCGGTTAGTTGAATGCACACATCACGAAGAAGTCTCTGAGAATCCTTCTGTCTAGTTTTCATTTGAAGTTATTTCCTTTTCTACCATAGTCCTCAAAGCCCTCCAAATGTTCACTTGGAAATTCTATAAAAAGAGTGTTTCAAAAGTGCTCTATCAAAAGTAATGTCCAAATCAGTGAGTTGAATGCACACATGACAAAGAAGTTTCTGAAAATGCTTCTGTCCAGTTTTTATGTTAGAATATTCCCGTTTCCAAAGAAGTCCTCAAAGCGGTCCAAATATCCACTTGCAGATTATCCAAAAAGAGTGTTTCAAAAGTGCTCTATCAAAAGAAAGTTTCACCTCTGTGAGTTGAATGCACATATCACAAAGAAATTTCTGCGAATGCTTTTGTCTAGCTTAAGTGAGGATATTCCCATTTCCACCACAGGCCTCAAAGCCCTCCAAATGTCCACTTGCAGATTCTACAAAAAGAGTGTTTCCAAGCTGCTCTATCAAAAGGAAGGTTCAACTCTGTGAGTTGAATGCACTCATCCAAAGAAGTTTCTGATAATGCTTCTGTCTAGTTTCTATATGAAGATAATTTCCTTTCCACCACAGTCCTCAAAACACTCCAAATATCCACTTGCACATTCTACAAAAAGTGTTTCAATACTGCACTATCAAAAGTAAGGTTCCACTCTGTGAGTTGATTGCACACATCACAAAGAATTCACTGAGAATGTTTCTGTCTCCTTATTTGAAGACATTCCCATTTCCAATGATGGCCTCAAAGTGGACCAAATATCCCCTTGCAGATTCTACAAACAGAGTGTTTCAAAACTGCTCTATCCAAGTAAAGGTTCACCACTGTGTGTTCAATGCACACATCACAAAGAAGTTTCTGAGAGTGCTTCTGTCTAGTTTTATATGAAGATATTTTCTTTTCTACCATAGGCCTCAAAGCACTCCAAATATCCACTTGCAGATTCCACAAAAAGAGTATTTTGAAACTGCTGTATCAAAAGGAAGGTTCAACTCTGTGAGGTGAATGCACACATCACAAAGTGGATTCTGAGAATATTTCTGTCTAATATGTAAGTGAGGATATTCCCATTTCCACCACAGGCTTCAAAGCCCCCAAAATTTCCACTAGCAGATTCTACAAAAAGAGTGTTTCAAAACTGCTCTAGCAAAAGGAAGTCTCAACTGTGTCACTTGAATGGACAGGTAACAAAGAAGTTTCTGAGAACGCTTCTGTCTGGATTTTATTTTAAGATATTCCCGTTTCCAATGAAGGACACAAAGCGGTCCAAATACCCACTTGCAGATTCTACAAAAAGATTATTTCAAAACTGCTCTATCAAAAGGAAGGTTCTTCTCCGTGAGTTGTATGCAAGCATCACAAAGAAGTTTTTGAGAATGCTTCTGTCTATTCTCTATGTGTAGATATTTCCTTTTCCAACACGGGCCTCAAAGCCCTCCAAATGTTCCCGTGCGGATTCTACAAAAAGAGTGTTTCAACACTGCTCTGTCAAAAGAAAGGTTCAACTCTGTGAGTTGAATGCACACATCACAAAGAAGTTTCTGAGAATGCTCCTGTCTAAGTTTTTATTTGAACACATTGCCTTTTCTAACTCAGACCTCAAAGCGCTCAAAATGTCCACTTGCAGATTCTACAAAAAGAGTGTTTCAAAACTGCTCTATCAAAAGTAATGTTCAACTCTGTGAGTTGAATGCACATATGACAAAGAATTTTCTGAAAATGCTTCTGTCTAGCTTTTATGTGAGAATATTTCCGTTTCCAATGAAGGCCTCAAAGCGGTCCAAATATCCACTTGCATATCCTCAAAAAGTGTTTGAAAACTGCTCTACCAAAAGAAAGTTTCACCTCCCTGAGTTGAGTGCACACATCACGAAGTAGTTTCTGAGAATACTTCCGTCTAGTTTTTATGTGAAGATATTTGCTTTTCTACCATAGGCCTCAAAGCTCATCACATATCAAATTGCAGATTCTACAAAAAGTGTGTTTCAAAACTGCTCTAACAAAAGGAATGTTCAACTCTGTGTGTGAAATGCACACACCAATATGTAGTTTCTGAGAATACTTCTGTCTAGTTTTTATATGAAGATATTTGCTTTTCTACCATAAGCCTCAAAGCGCTCCAAATATCCATTTGCAGATTCTACAAAAAGAGTGTTTAAAAAGTGCTCCATAAAAAGGATTTTTCAACTCTGTGAGTTGAATGCAAACATCACAAAGGAATTTCTGAGAATGCCTCTTCTAGTTTTAGGTGAAGATATACCTGTTTCCAACGAAGGACTGAAAGCTGTCTTAAATATGTACTTGCAGATTCTACAAAAACAGTGTTTCAAAACTGCTCTATCAAAAGGAAGGTTCAACTCTGTGAGTTGAATGAACAGATCACAAAGAAGATTCTGAGAATGCTTCTGTCTAGTTTTTATTTGAAGGTATTCCCGTTTCCAAAGAAGGCCTCAAACAGGTTTAAATATCCAATTGAAGATTATACAAAAAGACTGTTTCAAAACTGCTCTATGAAAAGGTATGTTCAACTCTGTGAGTTGAATGCACACATCACAAAGGAGTTTCTCAAAAGACTTCTGTCTAGTTTTTAAGTGAGGATTTTCCCGTTTTCATCACAGGCCTCAAATCCATCCAAATGTCCACTTGCAGATTCTACAAAAAGAGTGTTTCAAAACTGCTCGATCAAAAGAAAGGCTCAACTCTGTGAGGTGAATGCACACATCACAAAGGAGTTTCTGAGAATTCTTCTGTCTAGTCTCTGTGTGAAGATATTTCTTTTTCCACAATAGGCCTTAAAGCGGTCGAAATGTCCAATTGCAGATTCTAAAAAAAGAGTGTTTCAAAACAGCTCTATCAAAAGAAAGGCTCAACTCTGTGTGTTGAATGCACACATCACAAAAGGTTTCTGAGAATCCTTCTGTCTAGTCACTATGTGAAGATATTCCCTTTTCCACCACAGGCCTCAAAGCCCTCCAAATGTTCACTTGCAGATTCTACAAAAAGAGTGTTTCAAAACTGCTCCATCAAAACGAAGGTTCAACTCTGTTAGCTGAATGCACGCATCACAAAGAAGTTTCTGAAAATGCTTCTGTCCAGTTTTTATGTGAGAATATTCTCGTTTCCAACGAAGGCTTCAAAGCGGTCCGAATATCCACTTGCAGATTCTCCAAAAAGAGTGTTTCAAAACTGCTCTATCAAAAGAAAGGTTCACCTCTGTGAGTTGAATGTACACATCACAAAGTACTTTCTGAGAATGCTTTTGTCTAGTTTTTATGTGAAGATATGTGCTTTTCTACCACAGGCCTCAAAGCACTCCACATACGCACTTACAGATTCTACAAAAAGAGTATTTCAAAACTGCTCTATCAAAAGGAAGTTTCATCTCTGTGAGTTGAATGTGCACATCACAAAGAAGTTTCTGAGAATGCTTGTGTCTAGTTTCTATGTGAAGATAATTCCTTTTCCACCTCAGGCCTCAAAGCCCTCCAAAGTTCCACTTTCAGATTCTACAAAAAAAGTGCTTCAAAACTGCTCTATCAAAAGGAAGGTTCAACTCTGTGAGTTGAATGCACACATCACAAAGAAGCTTCTGAGAATGCTTCTGTCTAGTTATTTGAAGATATTCCCTTTTCCAACGAAGACCTAAATGCGATCCAAATATCCACTTGGACATTCTACAGAAAGAGTTTTTCAAAACTGATCTTTCAAAAGGAAGGCACAACTCTGTGAGTTGAATGCACAAATGACAAAGTTGTTTCTGAGAATGCTTCTCTCTATTCCCTATGTGAAGATATTTTGTTTTCAATCACAGGCATTCAATCGGTCAAATGTCCATTTGCAGATTCTACAAAAAACAGTGTTTCAAAACTACTCTATCAAAAGGAAGGTTCAATTCTCTGAGTTGAATGCACACACCACAAAGAAGTTTTTAAAATGCTTCTGTCTAGTTTTTTTGTGAGAATATACCCGTTTCCAACGGAGGCCTCAAAGATGTCCTTATATCGACTTGCAGATTCCCCAAAAAGAGTGTTTCAAAAGGTTCTATCAAAAGAAATGTTCACCTCTGTGAGTTGAAAGCACACATCACAAAGTACTTTCTGGGATTGCTTCTGTGTAGTTTTTATGTGAAGATATTTGCTTTACTCCCATAGGCCTCAAGGAGCTCCAAATATCCACTTGCAGATTCTACAAAAAGAGTGTGTGAAAACTGCTCTATCAAAAGGAAGGTTCAGTTCTCTGAGTTGAATCCACACATCACAAAGAAGTTTCTGAGAATTCTTCTGTCTAGTTATTTGAAGACATTCCCTTATCCAACAAAGGCCTCAAAGAGGTCAAAATATCCACTTGCAGATTGCACAAAGAGTCTCTCAAAACTGGTCTATCAGAAGGAAGGTTAAAATCTGTGAGTTGAATGCACACATCACAAAGAGGTTTCTGAGAATGCTTCTGTCCAGTCTCTATGTGAACATATTTCCTTTTCCACCACAGACCTTAAAGCGGTGCAAATGTTTACTTGCAGAATCTACAAAAAGAGTGTTTCAAATCTGCTCTATCAAAAGTAAGGACAACTCTGTGGTTTGAATGCACACATCACAAAGTAGTTTCTGAGAATGCCTCTGTCTAGTTTTTATATGAAGATATTTCGTTTTCTACCACAGGCCTCAGAGCACACCAAATGTCCACTTGCAGATACTACAAAAAGAGTGTTTCAAAACTGCTCAATCAAAAGGGACCTTCAACTGTGTGAATTGAATGCCCACATCACAATGTACTTTCTGAGAATGCTTCTGTCTAGTTTTTATGTGAAGATATTTGCTTTTCTACAATAGTCCTCAAAGCGCTCCAAATATCCACTTGCAGATTCTACAAAAAGAGTGTTTCAAAACTTCTCTATCAAAAGGAAGGTTCAACTCTGTGAGTTGAATATACACGTCACAAAGAATTTTCTGAGAATGCTTCAGTCTAGTTTCTAAGTGAAGATATTTCCTTGTCCACCAGAGGCCTTAAAGCTCTAAAGTGTCCACTTGCAGATTCTACAAAAACAGTGATTAACAACTGCTCCATCAAAGAAAGTTTCGACACGGTGTGTTGAATGCACACATCAAAAAGAGGTTTCTGAGAATGGTTCTGTCTAGTTTCTATGTGAAGATATTTCCTTTTCCACCACAGGCCTTAAAACTCTCCAAATGTCCACTTGCCGATTCTACAAAAAGAGTGTTGCAAAACTGTTCTATCAAAAGGAAGGTTCAAATCTGTGAGTTGAATGCACACATCACAAAGAAGTTTCTGAGAATGCTTCTGTCTAGTTTTTATTGGAGGATATTCCCGTTTCTTACCAAGGCCTCAAAGCAGTCCAAGTATGCACTTGCAGATTCTTCAAAAACAGTGTTTCAAAACTTCTCTATCAAAAAGAAGTTTAAACTCTGTGAGTTGAATGCACACATCACAAAGTAGTTTCTGAGAATGCTTTTGTGTAGTTTTCATATGAAGATATTTCCTTTTCTACCATAGGCCCAAAATCGCTCCAAATGGCTACTTGCAGATTCTACAAAAAAGTGTTTCAAACTGCTCTATCAAAAGGAAGGTTCAACTCTCTGAGTTGAATGCACACATCACAAAGAAGTTTCTGAAAATGCTTCTGTCTAGTTTTTAAGTGAGGATATTCCCGTTTCCACCACAGGCCCAAAATCTCTCCAAATGTCCACTTGCGGATACTACAAAAAGAGGGTTTCAAAACTGCTCTATCAAAAGGAAGGTTCATCTCTGTGAGTTGAATGCACACATCACAAATTAGTTTCTGAAAATGCTTCTGTTTAGTTTTTATGTGAGAATATTCTCGTTTCCAATGAAAGCCTCAAAGTGGTCCAAATGTTCACCTCAAAGCGGTCCAAATGTCCACTTGCAGATTCTCCAAAAAGAGTGTTTCAAACTGCTCTATCAAAGGAAAAGTTCACCTCTGTGAGTTGAATGCACACATCACAAACTACTTTCAGAGACTGCTTCTGTCTAGTTTTTATGTGAAGATATTTGCTTTTCTACCATAGGCCTCAATGCGCTCCAAATATCCACTTGTCGACTCTACAAAAAGAGTGTTTCAAAACTGCTCTATCAAAAGGAAGGTTCAACTCTGTAATTTGAATGCACACATCACAAAGAAGTTTCTGAGAATGTATCTGTCTAGTTATTTGAAGATATTCACTTTTCCAATAAAGGCTTCAAAGTGGTCCAAGTATCCACATGCAGATTGTACAAAAAGAGTGTTTCAAAACTGCTCTATCAAAAGGAAGGTTGAACTCTGTGAGTTGAATGCAAACATACCAAAGAGGTTTCTGCAAATGGTTCTGTCTAGTATCTATGTGAAGATATTTCATTTTCCACCACAGGCCTCAAAATCCTCCAAGAGTCCACTTGCAGATTCTACAAAAAGAGGGTTTCAAAACTCTTCTATCAAAATGAAGGTTCAAATCTGTGAGTTGAATGCACACATCACAAAGAAATTTCGGAGAATGCTTCTGTCTAGTTTTTATTCGAAGATATTCCCGTTTCCAACAAAACCCTCAAAGCAGTCCGAATATCCAATTGCAGATTATACAAAAAGAGTGTTACAAAAATTCCATGTCATAAAAAAGGTTCAACTCTGTGACCTGAATGCACACATCACAAAGAAGTTTCTCACAAGGATTCTGTCTAGTTTTTAAGTGAGGATATTCCCGTTTCCAACACAGGCCTCAAAGTCCTCCAAATGACCACTTGCAGATTCTTCACAAAAATTGTTTCATAACTTCTCTATCAAAAAGAGGGTTCAAGACTGTAAGTTGAATGCACACATCACAAAGAAGTTTCTGAGAATGATTTCATGTAGTTTTCAAATGAAGATATTTCCTTTTCTTTTTTTTTTTTTACTTTAAGTTTATGGTACATGTGCACGATGTGCAGGTTAGTTACATATCTATACATGTGCCATGCTGGTGCGCTGCACTCACTAACTCGTCATCTAGCATTAGGTATATCTCCCAGTGCTATCCCTCCCCCTCCCCCCACCCCACAACAGGCCCCAGAATGTGATGTTCCCCTTTCTGTGTCCATGTGTTCTCAATGTTCAATTCCCACCTATGAGTGAGAACATGTGGTGTTTGGTTTTTTTTTCTTGTGAGAGTTAACTGAGAATGGTGATTTCCAATTTCATCCATGTCCCTACAAAGGACATGAACTCATCATTGTTTATGGCTGCATAGTATTCCATGGTGTATATGTGCAACATTTTCTTAATCCAGTCTATCATTTTTGGACATTTTGGTTGGTTCCAAGTCTTTGCTATTGTGAATAATGCCACAATAAACATACGTGTGCATGTGTCTTTATAGAAGCATGATTTATAGTCCTTTGGGTGTATACCCAGTAATGGGATGGCTGGGTTAAATGGTATTTCTAGTTCTAGATCCCTGAGGAATCGCCACACTGACTTCCACAATGGTTAAACTAGTTTACAATCCCATCAACAGTGTAAAAATGTTCCTATATCTCCACATCCTCTCCAGCATCTGTTGTTTCCTGGCTTTTTAATGATCGCCATTCTAACTGGTGTGAGATGGTATCTCGTCGTGGTTTTGATTTGCATTTCTCTGATGGCCAGTGATGGTGTGCATTTTTTCATGTGTTTTTTGCTGCATAAATGTCTTCTTTTGAGAAGTGTCTGTTCATGTCCTTCGCCCACTTTTTGATGAGGTTGGTTGTTTTTTTCTTGTAAATTTGTTAGAGTTCATTGTAGATTCTGGATATTAGCCCTTTGTCAGATGAGTAGGTTGCAAAAATGTTCTCCCATTTTGTAGGTTGCCTGTTCACTCTGATGGTAGTTTCTTTTGCTGTGCAGAAGCTCTTTAGTTTAATTAGATCCCATTTGTCAATTTTGGCTTTTGTTGCCATTGCTTTTGGTGTTTTAAACATGAAGTCCTTACCCATGCCTGTGTCCTGAATGGTAATGCCTAGATTTTCTTCTAGGGTTTTTATGGTTTTAGGTCTAACATGTAAGTCTTTAATCTATCTTGAATTGATTTTTGTATAAGGTGTAAGGGAGGGATCCAGTTTCAGCTTTCTACATATGGCTAGCCAGTGTTCCCAGCACCATTTATTAAATAGGGAATCCTTTCCCCATTGCTTGTTTTTGTCAGGTTTGTCAAAGATCAGATAGTTGTAGATATGCGGCATTATTTCTGAGGGCACTGTTCTGTTCCATTGATCTATATCTCTGTTTTGGTACCAGTACCATGCTGTTTTGGTTACTATAGCCTTGTGTTATAGTTTGAAGTCAGGTAGTGTGATGCCTACAGCTTTGCTCTTTTGGCTTAGGATTGACTTGGCCATGCGGGCTCTTTTTTGGTTCCATATGAACTTTAAAGTAGTTTTTCCCAATTCTGTGAAGAAAGTCATTGGTAGCTTGATGGGGATGGCATTGAATCTGTAAATTACCTTGGGCAGTATGGCCATTTTCACGATATTGATTCTTCCTACCCATGAGCATGGAATGTTCTTCCATTTGTTTGTATCCTCTTTTATTTCATTGAGCAGTGGTTTGTAGTTCTCCTTGAAAAGGCCCTTCACATCCCTTCTAAATTGGATTCCTAGGTATTTTATTCTCTTTGAAGCAATTGTGAATGGGAGTTCACTCATGATTTCACTCTCTGTTTGTCTGTTGTTGGTGTATAAGAATGCTTGTGATTTTTGTACACTGATTTTTTACCTGAGACTTTGCTGAAGTTGCTTATCAGCTTAAGGAGATTTTGGGCTGAGACAATGGGGTTTTCTAGATTTATAATCATGGAGTCTGCAAACAGGGACAATTTAATTTCTTCTTTTCCTAATTGAATACCCTTTATTTCCTTCTCCTGCCTAATTGCCCTGGCCAGAACTTCCAACACTATGTTGAATAGGAGTGGTGAGAGAGGGCATCCCTGTCTTGTGCCCGTTTTCAAAGGCTATGCTTCCAGTTTTTGCCCATTCAGTATGATATTGGCTGTGGGTTTGTCATAGATAGCTTTTATTATTTTCAGACACGTCCCATCAATACCTAATTTATTGAAAGTTTTTAGCATGAAAGGTTGTTGAATTTTGTCAAAGGCCTTTTCTGCATCTATTGAGATAATCATGTGGTTTTTGTCTTTGGTTCTGTTTATATGCTGGATTACATTTACTGATTTGCATATATTGAACCAGCCTTGCATCCCAGGGTTGAAGCCCACTTGATCATGGTGGATAAGCTTTTTGATGTGCTGCTGGATTCGGTTTGCCAGTATTTTATAGAGGAATTTTGCATAAGTGTTCATCAAGGGTATTGGTCTAAAATTCTCTTTTTTGGTTGTGTCTCTGCCTGGCTTTGGTATCAGGATGATGCTGGCCTCATAAAATGAGTTAGGGAGGATTCACTCTTTTTCTATTGATTGGAATAGTTTCAGAAGGAATGGTACCAGTTCCTCCTTTTACCACTCCTACGAGTCTGTTGGAGTACCCGGCTGTGTGTGGCGTCCGCCTGCCCCTGCTAGGGGGTGCCTCCCAGTTAAGCTGCTCAGGGGTCAGGGGTCAGGGACCCACTTGAGGAGGCAGTCTGCCCGTTCTCAGATCCCCAGCTCCGTGCTGGGAGAACCACTGCTCTCTTCAAAGCTGTCAGAGAGGGACATTTAAGTCTACAGAAGTTACTGCTGTCTTTTTGTTTGTCTGTGCCCTGCACCCAGAGGTGGAGGCTACAGAGGCAGGCATGCCTCCTTGAGCTGGGGTGGGCTCCACCCAGCTCCAGCTTCCCGGCTGCTTTGTTTACCTAAGCGAGCCTGGGCAATGCCAGGCACACCTACCCCAGCCTCGCTGCCGCCTTGCAGTTTGATCTCAGACTGCTGTGCTAGCAATCAGTGAGACTCCGTGGGCGTAGGACCCGCCGAGCCAGGTGCGTGATATAATCTCGTGGTGCGCCGTTTTTTAAGCCCGTCGGTAAAGTGCAGTATTCAGGCAGGAGTGACCCGATTTTCCAGGTGCCGTCTGTCACCCATTTCTTTGACTAGGAAAGGGAACTCCCTGACCCGTTGTGGGTCCAGAGTGAGGTGATGCCTCGCCCTGCTTCGCATCACACACGGTGCATGCACCCACTGACCTGCGTCCACTATCTGGCACTCCCTAGTGAGATGAACCCGGTATCTCAGATGGAAATGCAGAAATCACCCATCTTCTGTGTCACTCACGCTGGGAGTTGTAGACTGGAGCTGTTCCTATTCAGCCATCTTGGCTCCTCCAGATATTGCCTTTTCTACCATAGACCTCAAAGTGTTCCAAATGTCTAATTGTAGATACTTCAGAAACTGTGTTTCAAAACTGCTCTATCAAAAGGAAGGTTCAACTCTGTGAGTTGAATGCACACATCACAGAGTGGTTTCTGAGAATACTTCTGTCTAGTTTCTATTTGAAGATATTCCCTTTTCTACCACAGGCCTCAAAACCTTCCAAATGTCCACTTGCGCCTTCTACAAAAAGAGTGTTTCAATACTGCTCTATCAAAAGCAAGGTTCAACTCTGTGAGTTGAATGCACACATCACAAAGAAGTCTCTGAGAATGCTTCTGTCTAGTTATTTGAAGACATTCCCTTTTCCAACGAATTCCTCAAAGCAGTCCAAATATCTACTTGCAGATTCTACAAAAAGAGTGTTTCATAAGTGCTCTATGAATAGGAAGGTTCAGCTCTGTGAGTTGAATGCACACATGACAAGGATGTTTCTGAGAATGCGTCTGTCTAGTCTCTATGTGAAGATATTTCGTTTTCCACCACAGGCCTCAAAGCCCTCCAAATGTCCACTTGCAGATTCTACAAAAAGAGTGTTTCAAAACTGTTCTATGAAAAGGAAGGTTCAACTCTGTGAGTTGAATGCATACAACACGAAGAAGTTTCTGAGATTGCTTCTGTCTAGTTTTCATTTGAAGATATTTCATTTTCCACCATAGACCTCAAAGCCCTCCAATTGTCTGCTTGGAGATTCTACAAAAAGAGTGTTTCAAAACTGCTCCATCAGTAGTAATGTTCAACTCTGTGAGTTGAATGCACACATGACAAAGATGTTTTTGAAAATGGTACTGTCTAGTTTTTATGAGAGAATATTCCGGTTTCCAACGAAGGCCTCAAAGAGGTCCAAATATCAACTTGCAGATCTTCCAAAAAGAGTATTTCAAAACTGCTCAATCAAAAGAAAGCTTCACCTCTGTGAGTTGAATGCACACATCACAAACTACCTTATGAGAATTCTTCTGTCTAGTTTTTACGTGAAGATATTGTTTTCCACCTTAGACCTCAAAGCGCTCCAAATATCCACCTGCAGATTCTACAAAAAGAATGTTACAAAACTGCTCTATCAAAAGGAAGGTCCAACTCGGTGGGTTGAATGCACACATCACAAAGAAGTTTCTGAGAATGTTCCGTCTAGTTTCTATGTGAAGATATTTCCTACTCCACCACAGGCTTTAAAGGGCTCCTAATGTCCACTTGCAGATTCTACAAAAAGAGTGTATCAAAACTGCTCTATCAAAAGAAAAGTTCGACTCCGTGAGTTGAATGCACAAATGACAAATAAGTTTCTGAAAATGCTTCTGTCTAGTTTTTATGTGAAGATATTTCCTTTTCTACCATACACCTCAAAGAGCTCCTAATATACACTTGCAGATTCTACAAAAAGAGGGTTTCAAAACTGGTCTATAAAAAGGAAAGTTCGAGTCTGTGAGTTGAATGCACACTTCACAAAGAAGTATCTGAGAATGCTTCTGTCTAGTTTTTATTTGAAGATATTCCCGTTTCCAACAAAGGCCTCAAATCGGTCCAAATATCCACTTGCAGATTCTCCAAAAAGAGTGTTTCAAAACTGTTCTAACAAAATGAAGGTTCAGCTCTGTGAGGTGAATGCACAGATCACCAAGAAGTTTCCGAGAATGCTTCCGTCTAGTTATTTGAAGATATTCCCGTTTCCAACGAAGGCCTCAGAGCAGTCCAAATATCCACTTGCAGGTTCTACAAAAACAGTGTATCAAAACTGCTCCATCAAAAGGAAGGTTCAACCCTGTGAGTTGAATGCACACATAACAAAGAAGTCTCTGATAACGCTTCTGTCTCGTTTCTATGTGAAGATACTTCCTTTTCCAACACAGACCTCAAAGCCCTCCAAATGTCCATTTGCAGATTCTGCAAAAAGAGTGTTTCAAAACCGCTCTATCAAAAGGAAGGTTCAAATCTGTGAGTTGAATGCACGCATCACAAAGAAGTCTCTGTGAATGCTCTGTCTAGTTTTTATTTGTAGATTTCCCATTTCCAAAGAAGGACTCAAAGCACTCCTAATTTCCACTTATAGGTTCTACAAAAACAGAGTTTCGAAACTGTTCTGTCAAAAGGAAGGTTCATCTCTGTGTGTTGAATGCACACAACACAACGAAGTTTCTAAGAATGCTTCTGATTAGTTACTATATGAAGATATTTCCTTTTCCACCACAGGCCTCAAAGCCTTCCAAATGTCCACTTGCACATTCTACAAAAAGAGTGTTTCAATATTGCTCTATCAAAAGTAAGGTTCAAGTCTGTGAGTTGATTGCACACATCACAAAGAAGGTTCTGAGAAAGCATTTGTGTAGTTATTTGAAGACATTCACGTTTCCAAAGAAGGCCTCAAAGCGGTCCAAATATGCCCTTGCAGATTCTACAAAAAAAGAGTGTTTCAAAACTGCTCTATCAAAAGAAATGTTCCCCACTGTGAGTTGAATGCACACATCACAAAGAAGTTCCTGAGAATGCTCCTGTCTAGTTTTTATTTGAAGATATTTCCTTTTCTAACATATGCCTCAAAGCGCTCCAAATGTCCACTTGCAGATTCTTCAAAAAGATTGTTTTAAGACTGCATATCAAAAGAAAGGTTCAACTCTGTGAGTTGAATGCACACATCACAAAGAAGTTTCTGAAAATGCTTCTGTCTAGCTTTTAAGTGAGGATATTCCCGTTTCCAACACAGGCCTCAAAGCCCTCCAAATGTCCACTAGGAGATTCTACAAAAAAGTGTTTCAAAAGTGCTTTATCAATAGGAATTTTCAATGGTGTGAGTTGAGTGCACAGAACACAAAGAAGTTTCTGAGAATGCTTCTGTCTAGTTTTATTTGAAGATATTCCTCTTTCCAACGAAGGTCTAAAAGCAGTCGAAATATTCACTTGCAGATCCTACAAAAAGAGTGTTTCAAAAGTGCTCTATCAAAAGGAAAGTTCAACTCTGTGAGTTGAATGCACACATCACAAAGAGGTTTCTGACAATGCTTCTGTCTAGTCTCTATGTGAAGATATCACCTTTTCCACCAAGGGCCTCAAATCCCTCCAGATATCTACTTATACATTCCACAAAAAGAGTGTTTCAAAACAGCTCCATAAAAAGGAAGATTCAATTCTGTGAGTTGAATGCACACATCACAAAGAAGTTTCTGAGAATGCTGCTGTCTAGTTTTTATTTGAAGATATTTCCTTTTCTACCATAGGCCTCAAAGCGCACAAAATATCCACTTGGAGATTCTACAAAAAGAGTGTTTCAAAACTGCTCTACCAAAAGTAATGTTCAACTCTGTGAGTTGAATGCACACATCACAAAGATCTTTCTGAAAATGCTTCTATCTAGCTTTTATGTGAGAATATTCCCGTTTCCAACGAAGGCCTCAAGGCGGTCCAAATATCCACTTGCAGCTTCTCTAAAAAGATTGTTTCCAAACTGCTTTATCAAAAGAAAGTTAAACCTCTATGTGTTGAATGCTCACATCACAAAATAGTTTCTGAGAATGCTTCTGTCTACTTTTAATGTGAAGATATTTGCTTTTATAGCATAGGCCTGAAAACACTCCAAATATCCATTTACAGATCCTTCAAAAAGAATGTTTCAAAAGTGCTCTATGAAAAGGAATGTTCATCTCTGTGAGTTGAATACACACATCAATCACAAAGAAATTTCTGAGAATGCTTCTGTCTAGTTTTTAGGTGAAGATATTCCGTTTTCCAACGAAGGACTCAATGCTGTCCAAATATCCACTTGTAGATTCTACAAAAAGAGTGTTTCAAAACTGCTCTATCAAAAGGTAGGTTTAACTCTGTGAGTTGAATGCACACATAACAAAGAGGCTTCTGAGAATGCTTTTGTCTAGTCTCTATTTGATGGTATATACTTTTCCACCACAGGCCTTAAAGTCGACCAAATGTCTGCTTGCAGATTCTACAGAAAAGTTTTTCAAAACTGCTCTAAGAAAAGAAATGTTCATCTCTGTGTTGAATGCACAGATCACAAAGAGGATTCTGAGAATGCTTCTGTCTAGTCTCCATGTGAAGATGTTTCCTTTTCCACCACAGGCCTCAAAGCCCTCCAAATGTCCACTAGCAGATTCTACAAAAAGAGTGTTTCAATACTGCTCCATCAAAAGAAGGTTCAACTCGGTTAGTTGAATGCACACATCACAAAGAAATTTCTGAGAATGCTTCTCTCTAGTTTTCACTTAAAAATATTTCCTGTTCTACCATAGGCCTCAAAGCACACAAAATGTCCACTTGGAGAGTCTACAAAAAGAGTGTTTCAAAACTGCTGTATCAAAAGTAATATTCAAATCTGTGAGTTGAATGAAGACATCACAAAGAATTTTCTGAAAATGCTTCTGTCTACTTTTTAAGTGGGGATATTCTCTTTTCCAACAAAGGTCTCAAAGTGGTCCAAATATCACCTTGCAGATTCTACAAAAACTATGTTTCAAAACTGCTGTATCAAAAGAAAGGTTCAACACTATGATTTGAATGCACACATCACAAAGAGTATTCTCAGAATACTTCTGTCTAGTTTCTATGTGAAGATATTTCCTTTTCTACCATAGGCCTCAAAACTCTCCAAATGTCCACTTGCAGATTATTCAAAAAGAGTGTTTCAAAACTGCTCTATCTAAAGGAAGGTTCAACTCTGTGAGCTGAATGCACACATCACAAAGAAGTTTCTGAAAATGCTTCTGTCTAGTTTTTAAGTGAGGATATTCCCTTTTCCACCACAAACCTCAAATCCCTGCAAATGTCCACTTGCAGATTCTACAAAAAGACTGTTTCAAAACTGCTCTATCAAAAGGAAATTTCAACTGTGTGAGTTGAATGCACACATCACAAAGAAGTTTCTGAGAATGCCTCTGTCTAGTTTCAATTTGAAGATACTCCCGTTTCCACCACAGGTCTCAAAGCCCTCCAAATGTCCACTTGCAGATTCCCCAAAAAGAGGATTTCAAAACTGTTCTATCAAAAGGAAGGTTCAACTCTGTGAGTTGGAGACACACATCACAAAGAAGTTCCTGAGAATGCTTCTGTCTAGTTATTTGAAGATATTCCCGTTTCCAACGAAGGCCTCAAAGCGGTCCAAATATCCACTTGCAGATTCCACAAAAAGAGTGTTTCAAAACTGCTCTATCAAAAGGAATTTTCAGCTCAGTGAATTGAATGCAAACATCACAAAGGGGCTTCTGAGAATCGTTCTGTTGAGTTTCTATGTGAAGATATTTCCTTTTCTACCACAGGTTTCAAAACCCTCCAAATGTCCACTTGAAGATTCTACAAAATGAGTGTTTCAAAACTGCTCAATTGAAAGAAATGTTCAACTCTCTGTGTTGAATACACACATCACAAAGAGGTTTCTGAGAATGCTTCTTTCTAGTCTTTACGTGAAGATATTACATTTTCCACCAGAGGCCTCAAAGCCCTCCAGATGTCCACTTGCAGATTCTTCAAAAAGAGTGTTTCAAAACTGCTCTATCAAAAAGAAGTTTCAACTCTGTGAGTTGAATGAACTCATCACAAAGTGGTTTCTGAGAATGCTTTTGTCTAGTTTTCATATGAAGATATTTCCTTTTCTACCATAGGCCTCAAAGCGCTCCAAATGTCCACTTACAGATTCTTCAAAAAGATTGTTCCAAAATTCCTCTATCAAAAGGAAGGTACAACTCTCTGAGTTGAATGCACACATCACAAAGCAGTTTCTGAAAATGTTTCTGTCTAGTTTTTAAGTGAGGATACTCGCGTTTCCAACGAAGGACTCAAACCGGTCCAAATATCCCCTTGCAGATCCTACAAAAAGAGTGTTTCAAAACTGCTCTATTAAAAGAAAGGTTAACCTCTGTGAGTTGAATGCACACATTCCAAAGAAGTTTCTGAGAATGCTTCTGTCTAGTTTTATATGAAGATATTTTCTTTTCTACTATAGGCCTCAATGCGCTCCAAATATCCACTTGCAGATTGTACAAAAGAGTGTTTCAAAACTGCTGTATAAAAAGTAAGGTTCAACTCTGTGAGTTGAATACACATATCACAAAGAGGTTTCTGAGTATACTTCTGTCTAGTTTCTATGTGAAGATAATTTCTTTTCTACCATAGGCCTCAAAGCGCTCCAAACGTCCACTTGCAGATTCTTCAAAAAGAGTGTTTCAAAACTGCTCTGTCAAAAGGAAGGTTCAACTCTGTGAGTTGAAGTCACACATCACAAAGAAGTTTCTGAAAATGCTTCTGTCTAGTTTTTAAGTGAGTGTATTCTGGTTTCCTCCACAAGACTCAAAGCTCTCCAAATGTACACTTGAAGATTCTACAAAAACAGTGTTTCAAAACTGCTCTATCAAAAGGAATGTTAAACTCTGTGAGTTGAATGCACATATCACAAAGAATTTTCTGAAAATGACTTCATCTAGATTTTAAGTGAGGATATTCTTTTTTCTAACCAAGGTCTCAAAGCCGTCCAAATATCCCCTTACAGATTCTACAAAAAGATTGTTTCAAAACTGCTCTATCAAAAGAAACATTCAACCCTGTGAGTTGAATGCTCCCATTACAAAGTGTATTCTGACAATACTTCTGTCTAGTTACTATGTGAAGGTATTTTCTTTTCTACCACAGGCCTCAATGAGCTCCAAATGTCCACTTGTAGATTCTTCAAAAAGAGTGTGTCAAAACTGCTCCTTCAAAAGGAAGGTTCAACTCTGTAAGGTGAATGCACACGTCACAAAGAAGTTTCAGAAAATGCTTCAGTCTGGTTTTTAAGTGATGATATTCCCGTTTCCAACACAGGCCTCAAATCCCTCCAAATGTCCACTTGCAGATTCCACAAAAAGAGTATTTCAAAACTGCTCTATCAAAAGGAAGTTTCAAATGTGTGAGTTGAATGCAAAGATCAAAAAGGAGTTTCTGAGAATGCTTCTGTCTAGTTTCTATTTGAAGATACTCCCGCTTCCACCACAGGCCTCAAAGCCATCCAAATGTCCACTTGCAGATTCTTCAAAAACAGTGTTCCAAAACTGCTCTATCAAAAGAAATGTTCAAATCTATGTGTAGAATGCACACATTACAAAGGGGTTTCTGAGAATGCTTCTGTCTAGTCTCTATGGGAAGATATTCCCTTTTCCACTGCAGGCCTCAAAGCCCTCCAAATGTCCACTTGCAGATTCTACAAAAAGAGTGTTTCAAAACTGTGCTATCAAAAGGAAGGTTGAAATCTGTGAGTGGAACGCACGCATCACAAAGAAGTTTCTGACAATACCTATGTCTAGTTTTTATTTGAAGATACTCCCGTTTCCAAAGAAGATCTCAAAGCAGTCCAAATATGCAATTGCAGGTTCTACAAAAGAGTGTTTCAAAACTGCTCGATCAAAGGGAAGGTTGAAATCGGTGTGTTGAATGCACACATCACAAAGAAGGTTCTGAGAATGCTTCTGTCTAGTTTCTATGCGAAGATATTTCCTTTTCCACCACAGGCCACAAAGCCCTCTAAATGTCCACCAGCACATTCTATAAAAAGAGTGTGTCAATACTGCTCTATCAAAAGTAGTGTTCAAGTCTGTGAGTTGATTGCACACATAACAAAGAACTTTCTGAGAATGCTTCTGTCTAGTTATTTGAAGGCATTCCCTTTTCCAACGAAGGCCTCATTGCCGTCCAAATATCCACTTCCAGATATTACAAAAAGTGTGTTCCAAAACTGCTCTATCAAAAGAAAGGTTCAACACTGTGAGTTGAACGCACACTTCACAAAGAGTTTTCTGTGAATGCTTCAGTCTAGTCTCTATGTGAAGATATTTCCTATTCCACCCCAGGCCTTAAAGGTCTCCAAATGTCCACTTGCAGATTCTACAAAAAGAGTGTTTCAAAACTGCTCGATCAAAAGAAAATTTTGATTCTGTGAGTTGAATGCACACATCACAAAGAAGTTTCTGAGAATGCTTCTGTCTAGTTTTTATTTGAAGATATTCCCGTTTCCAATGAAGGCCTCAAAGCGGTCTAAATATCCACTGGCAGATTCTACAAAAAGAGTGTTTCAAAACTGCTCTATCAAAAGAAACGTTCAACTCTGTGACTTGAATGCGCACATCACAAAGAAGTTTCTGAGAATGCTTCTATCTAGTGATTTGAAGATATTACTGTTTCCAAGGAAGGCATTAAAGCAGTTAAAATATACACCTGCAGATTCTACAAAAAGAATGTTTAAAAAAACGGCTCTACCAAAAGGAAATTCAACACAGTCAATTGAATGCACACATCACAAATTGGTTTCTGAGAACTGTTCTGTCTAGTTTCTGTTTGAAGATATGTGCTTTTCTACCACAGGCCTCAAAGCACTCCAAATATGCACTTACAGATTCTACAAAAGGAGTGTTTCAAAACTGTTCTATCAAAAGGAGTTTCAAATCTGTGAGTTGAATGCACACATCACAAAGAAGTTTCTGAGAATGCTTCTGTCTAGTTTTTATATGAAGATATTTCTTTTTCCACCATACGCCCCAAAGCTCTCAAAATGTCCACTTGCAGATTCTACAAAAAGAGTGTTTCAAAACTTCTCTATGAAAACAAAGGTTCAACTCTGTGAGTTCAATGCACACATCACAAAGAAGTTTCTGAGAATGCTTCTCTCTAGTTTTTATGTGAAGATACTCCCGTTTCCAATGAAGCCCACAAAGCCGTCCAAATATCCACTTGCAGATTCTACGAAAAGAGTGTTTCAAATCTGCCCTATGAAATGGTATGTTCAAGCCTGCGAGTTAAATGCAAACATCACAAAGTATTTTCTGAGAATGCTTCTGTCATTTTTTTATGTGAAGATATTTCCTTTTCCACTGAAAGCCTCGAAGCTCTCCAGATGTCCACTTGCAGATTATACAAAAAGAGTGTTTCAAAACTGCTCTATCAAAAGAAATCCTCAAATCTGTTGATTGAATGCACACATCACAAAGAAGTTCCTGAGTATGCTTCTCTCTAGTTTTTATGTGAAGATATTCCCATTTCCAACGAAGGCCTCAAAGCAGTCCAAATATCCACTTGCAGATTATACGAAAAGAGTGTTTCAAAACTGCTCTATGGAAAGGTACGTTCAACTCAGTGAGTCGAATACAAACATCCTGAAGAATTTTCTGAGAATGCTTCTGTCTAGTTTTTATGTGAAGATTTTCCAGTTTCCAAAGAAGGCCTCAAAGCAGTCCAAATATACACTTGCAGATTCAACGAAAAGAGTGTTTCAAAACTGTTCTATGAAAATGTATGTTCAACTCTGTGAGTTGAATGCAAACATCACAAAGAAGTTTCTGAAAATTATTCTGTCTAGTTTTCATGTGTAGATATATTTTATCCACCTTAAGCCTCAAAGCTCTCCAAATGTCCACTTTCAGATTCTACAAAAAGAGTGTTTCAAAATTGCTCTATCAAAAGAAAAGTTCAAATCTCTGAAATGAATGCACACATCACAAAGAAGTTTGTGAGAATGCTTCTTTCTAGTTTTTATGTGGAGATATTCCCGTTTCCAAAGAAGTCCTCAAAGCAGTCCAAATATCCACTTGCAGATTCTATGAAAAGAGTGTTTCAAAACTGCTCTATGAAAAGGTACGTTCAATTCGGTGAGTTGAATTCAAACGTGAAAAAGAAGTTTCTGAGAATACTTCTGTCTAGTTGTTATGTGAAGATATTTCCTTTTCCACTGGAGGCCTCAAAGCTCTCCAAAATTCCACACGTATATTCTACAAAAGGAGTGTTTCAAAACTTCTCTATGAAAAGAAAGGTGCAAATCTGTGAATTGAATGCAAACAACACAATCATGTTTCTGAGAATACTTCTGTCTAGTTTTTATGTGAAGATATTCCCATTTCCATCAAAGGCCTAAGAGCAGTCAAAATATCCACTAGCAGATTCTACAAAAAGAGTTTTTCAAACTGCTCTATTAAAAGGTGTCTTCAACATTGTGAGTTGAATGCAAACATCTCAAAGGAGTTTCTGAGAATGCTTCTGTCTAGTTTTTATGTGAAGATATTTTTTTTTCCACCATAGGCCTCAAAGCTCTCCAAATGTCCACATGCAGATTCTACAAACAAAGTGTTTCAAAACTGCTCTGTAAAAAGAAATGTTCAACTCTCTGAGTTGAAAGCACACATCACAAATTAGTTTCTGAGAATTCTTCTGTCAAGTTTTTATGTGAAGATATTAACTTTTCCAACGAAGGCTTCAAAGCAGTCCAAATATCCACTTGCAGATTCTACAAAAATAATGTTTCTAAACTGCTCTATCAAAAGAAAAATTCAACCCTTTCAGTTGAGTCCACACATCACAAAGAAGTTTCTGAGAATGCTTCTGTCTAGTTTTTATGTGAAGATATTTCCTTTTCCACCGTAGGCCGCAAAGACCTCCAAATGTCCACTTTCAGATTTTGCAAAATGAGTATTTCATAACTGCTCTATCAAAAGAAAGGTTCAAATCTGTGAATTGAATGCACACATCACAAAGAAGTTTCTGAGAATGCTTCTGTCTAGTTTTTAGATGAAGATATTCCCTTTTCTAACGAAGGTCTAAGAGCAGTCCAAATATCCCCTAGCAGATTCCACGAAAAGAGTGTTTAAAAACTGCTCTATGAAAAGCTATGTTCAACTCTGTTAGTTGAATGAAAACATCACAAAGAAGTTTCTGAGAATGCTTCTGTCTAGTTTTTAGATGAAGATATTCCCGTTTCTAATGAAGGTCTAAGAGCATTCCAAATATCCACAATTTGGAATAACACGAAAAGAGTGTTTAAAAACTGCTCTATGAAAAGCTATGTTCAGCTCTCTGAGTTGAATGCAAACATCACAAAGAAGTTTCTGAGAATGCTTCCGTCTAGTTTTTATGGGAAAATATTTTCATTCACACAATAGGCCTAAAACCTCTCCAAATTTCCACTTGCAGATTCTGCAAAAAGAGTGTTTCAAAAGTGCTCCAACAAAAGAAAGTTTCAAATCTGTGAGTTGAATGCACATATCACAGTGAAGTTTCTGAGAATTCTTGCCTACTTTGTATGTGGTGATATTCCCGTTTCCAACGAAGGCCTCAAAGATGTCCAAATATTCACTTACAGATTCTACGAAAAGAGTGTTTCAAAACTGCTGTATGAAAAGGTACGTTCAACTCTGTGAGTTGAATGCAAACATCACAGAGAAGTTTCTGGGAATGATTCTGTCTAGTTTTTATGTTAAGATATTTCCTTTTCCACTGGAGGCCTCAAAGTTCTCCAATTTCCACTTGCAGATTCTACAAAAAGAGTGTTTCAAAGCTGCTATATCAAAAGAAAGGTTCAAATCTGTGAATTGAATGCAACCATCACAAACAAGTTCCTGAGAATGCGTCTATCTAGTTTTTATGTGAAGATATACCCGTTTCCAATGAAGGCCACAAAGCAGCCCAAACATGCACTTGCAGATTCTACGAAAAGAGTGTTTCAAAGCTGCTCTATGAAAACGTATGTTAAGCTCTGTGCGTTGAATGCAAACATCACAAAGAAGTTTCTGAGAATGCTTCCGTCTGGTTTTTATGTGAAGATATTTCTTTTTCCACCATAGGTCTCAAAGCACTCCAAATATTTACTTGCAGATCCAACGAAAAGAGTGTTTCAAAACTGCTCTATCAAAGCAATGGTTCAAATCTGTCAGTTGAATGCACACATGACAAAGAAGTTTCTGCGAATGCTTGACTACTTTTTATTTGGTGATATTACCGTTTCCAACGAAAACTTCAAAGCAGTCTAAATAACTACTTACAGATTCTACCAAAAGAGTGTTTCAAAAATGCTCTATGAAAAGGTATGTTCAACTCTGTGAGTTGAATGCAAACATCACAAAGAAGTTTCTGGGAATGGTTCTGTCTAGTTTCTATGTGAAGATATATCCTTTTCCACCATAGGCCTCAAAGTGCTCCAAAGATCAACTTGCAGATTCCACAAAATGAGTGTTTCAAAACGACTCTATCAAAACAAAGGTTTAACTTTGTGAGTTGAAAGCACACATCTCAAAGAAGTTTCTGAGAATGGTTCTGTCTAGTTTTTATGTGAAGATACTCCCATTTCCAACGAAGGCCTCAAAGCAGTTCAAATGTCCACTTGCAGATTCAACGAAAAGAGTGTTACAAAACTGCTCTATGACAAGCTATGTGCATCTCTTTGAGTTGAATGCAAACATCACAAAGAAATTTCTGAAAATGCTTCTGTCTGGTTTTTATGTGAAGATATTTTCTTTTCCACCATAGGCCTCAAAGCTCTCCAAATATCCACTTGCTGATTCTACAAAAAGGGTGTTTCAAAACTGCTCTATCAAAAGAAACGTTTAACCCTGTAAGTTAAATGCACACATCACAAAGGAGTTTCTGAGAATGCTTCTGAATATTTTTTATGTGAAGATATTCCCGTTTCCAATGAAGGCCTCAAAGCAGTCCAAATATCTACTTGCAGATTTTACGAAAACACTTTTTCAAAACTGCTCTATGAGTAGGTACGTTCAACTCTGTGAGTTGAATGCAACCACCAAAAATAAGTTTCTGAGAATGCTTCTGTCTAGTTTTTATGTGAAGATATTTCCCTTTCCGCCATAGGCCTTAAAGCTCTCCAAATGTCCACTTGCAGATTCTGCAAAAAGAGTGTTTCAAAACTACTCTATCAAAAGAAAGGTTCAAATATCTGAGTTGAATGCACACATTACAAAGTATTTTCCGAGAATTGTTGACTACTTTTTATGTGGTAATATTCCCGTTTCCAAAGAAGGCTTAAGAGCAGTGCAAATATCCACTTACAGATATAAAGAAAAGAGTTTTTCAAAACTGCTCTATGAAAAGGTATGTTCAACTCTGTGTGGTGAATGCACATATCAAAAAGAAGTTTCTCAGAATGTTCCTGTCTAGTTTTTATGTGAAGATATTTCCGTTTCAAACAAAGGCCTCAAAGCAGTCCAAATACACACTTGCAGATTCTATGAAAAGAGTGTTTCAAATCCGCTCTATGAAAAGGTATCTGCAACCCTGTGAGTTCAATGCAAACAAAACAAAGAAATTTCTGAAAATGCTTCTGTCTGGTTTTTATGTGAAGGTATTTCCTTTTGTAACGTAGGCCTCAAGGCTCTCCAAATGTCCACTTGCAGATTCTACAAAAACAGTGTTTCAAAACTGCTGAATCAAAAGAAAGATTCAACCCTGTCAGTTGAGTGCACACATCACAAAGTAGTTTCTGAGTATGGTTCCGTGTAGTTTTCATGTGAAGTTATACCCGTTTCCAACGAAGGCTTCAAAGAATTCCAAATATCCACTTGCAGATTCTACCAAAAGAGTGGTTCAAAACTGCTCTCTCGAAAGGATGGTTCAACTCTGTAAGTTGAATGCACACATCACCAAGAAGTTTTGGAAAATTCTTATGTCTAGTTTTATATGAAGAAATCACGTTTCAAACGAAGGCCACAAGGAGGTCCAAATATCCACTGGCGGATTCTACAAAAAGATGGTTCCAAAACTGCTCTATCAAGAGGAATGTTCAACTCGGTTAGTTGAATGCAAACATCACAAAGTAATTTCTGTGAATACTTCCATCTAGTTTTTATGTGGATATATTTCCTTTTTACTATAGGCCTCAAAGTGCTCTAAATACACACTTGGAAATTCTACAAAAGAGTGTTTCAAAACTGCTCTATGAAAACAAAGGTTAAACTCTGAGTTGAACACACACATTACAAATTAGTTTCAGAGAAACATTCTGTCAAGTTTTTATATGAAGATATTGCCTTTTCTACATTAGGATTCAAAGCGCCCTAATTATCCACTTGGAAATTCTACAAAAAGAGTGTTTCAAAACTAGTCTATTGACAGGATCGTTCAACTCTCTCAGTTGAATGCACACACCACAAAGAAGCTTCTGAGTATTCTTCTGTCTAGGTTTTTTATGAAGAAATACCCAGTCCCAATGAAGGCCTCAAAGAGGTCAAAATATCCACTTGCAGATTCTACAAAAGGAATGTTACAAAACTGCTCTATCAAAAGGAATGTTCAACTCTGTGAGGTGAATGCAAACATCACAAAGTAGTTTCTGAGAATGCTTCTGTGTAGTTTTTCTACGAAGATTTTCCTTTTCTACCATAGGCACCAAAGCGCTCTAAATATCCACTTGCAAATTCTACAAAAAGAGTGTTTCAAAAGTGCTCTATCAAAAGGATAGTTCAACTCTGTGTTGAGTGCAGACATCACAAGGAAGTTTCTGAGAATACTTCTGTCTACTTTTTATGTGAAGATACTCCCGTTTCCAAAGAAGGCCTCAAAGTGCTCCAAATATCCACTTTCAGACATTACAAACAGAGTGTTTCAAAACTGCTCTATCAAAAGTAATGTTAAACTCTGTGAGTTGAACGCACACATCACAAAGTAGTGTCTCAGAATGATACTGTCTAGTTATTATATGAAGACATTTCCTTTTCTACCATAGGCCTCAAAGTGCTCTAAGTATCCACTTGCAAACACTACAAAAAGAGTGTTTCAAAACTGCTGTATCAAAAGAAAAGTTAAATACATTCAGTTGAATGCACACATAACAAAGTAGTTTCTGAGAATGATTCTGACTTGTTTTTATATGAAGATATTTCCTTTTCTACAAAAAGATTCAAAGCGCTCTAAATATACATTTGGAAATTCTACAAAAAAAGTGTTTCAAATCTGCTCTATCAAAAGGAAGATTCAACTCTGTGAGGTGAATGCACACATCACAAAGAAGTTTCTGAGAATGATTCTGTCTAGTTTCCATACGAAGATTTTTTTTTCTACCATAGGCCTCAAAGTGCTCTAAATATCCACTTGCAAACACTACAAAAAGAGTGTTTCAAAACTGCTCTATCAAAAGGAAGGTTCACCTCTGTGAGTTGAGTACAGACATCACAATGAAGTTTCTGAGAATACTTCTGTCTACATTTTATGTGAAGATATTCCCGTTTCCAAAGAAAACCTCAAAGCGCTCCAATTATCCAGATGCAGACTTTACAAAGAGTGTTTCAAAACTGCTCTATCAAAAGAAAGGTTAAACACTGTGAATTGAACACACACATCACAAAGTAGTTTCTGGGAATGATTCTGTCTGGTTTTTATATGAAGATATTTCCTTTTCTACCATATGATTCAAAGTGCTCTAAATATCCACTTGGAAATGCTACAAAAAGTTTGTTTCAAATCTGCTTTATCAAAAGGAAGGTTTAGCTCTGTGAGGTGAATGCACACATCACAAAGAAGTTTCTGAGAATTCTTCGGTGTAGTTTTATATGAAGAAATACCGTTTCCAACTTAGGCCTCAAAGAGGTCCAAATATCCACTTACAGATTCTACAAAAACAGTGTTTCAAAACTGCTCTATCAAGAGGAATGTTAAACTCCTTGTGTTGAATGCAAAAATCACAAAGTAGTTTCTGAGAATTCTTCTGTCTAGTTTTTATGTGATGATATTTCCTTTTCTACGATGGGCCTCAAAGCGCTCAAAATATCCACTTGCAAACTCTACAAAAGAATTTTTCAAAACTACTCTATCAAAAGGAAGGTTCACCTCGGTGAGTTGAGTACAGACATCACAAAAAGTTTCTGAGAATTCTTCTGTCTACTTTTTAGGTGAAGATATCCCCATTTCCAAAGAAAACATCTAGGTGCTCCAAATATCCAGATGCAGACATTACAAACAGAATGTTTCAAAACTACTCTATCAGAAGAAAGTGTAAACTCTAT
The DNA here is from genome assembly GCF_000001405.40 of Homo sapiens. Taxonomy (NCBI): domain Eukaryota; kingdom Metazoa; phylum Chordata; class Mammalia; order Primates; family Hominidae; genus Homo; species Homo sapiens. Next base: position 90,484,814 of record NC_000003.12, read on the forward strand.
GAGTTGAACGCACACATCACAAAGTAGTTTCTGGGAAATATTCTGTCTAGGTTTTATATGAAAATATTTCCTTTTCTACCATAGGATTCAAAGCGCTCTAAATATCCACTTGGAAAATCTACAAAAAGAGTGTTTCAAATCTGCTCTATCAAAAGGAAGGTTCAACTCTGTGAGTTGAATGCACACATCACACAGAAGTTTCGGAGAAATCTTCTGTCTAGTTTTATAAGAAGAAATCCCGTTTCCAACGAAGGTCTCAAAGAGTTTGAAATATCCACTTGCAGATTCTACAAAAAGAGTGTTTCAAAACAGCTCTATCAAGACGAATGTTCAACTCTGTGAGTTGAATGCAAACATCACAAAGTAGTTTCTGAGAATGCTTCTGTCTAGATTTTATGTGAAGATATTTCCTTTTTTACCATAGGCCTCAAAGTGCTCTAAATACACACTTGCAAATTCTACAAAAAGAGTGTTTGAAAACTGCTCTATCCGAAGAAAGATTAAACTCAGTGAGTTGAATGCACACATCACCAAGTAGTTTCTGAGAAAGATTCTCTCTAGTTTTTCTATGAAGAAATTTCCATTTATACCATAGGCCTGAAAGCGCCCTAAATATCCAGTAGGAAATTCTACAAAAAGAGTGTTTCAAAACCGCTCTATTGACAGAATCGTTCAACTCTGTGTGTTGAATGCACACATCTCAAAGAAGCTTCTGAGAATTCTTCTGTCTAGTTTTTTTATGAAGAAATACTCGGTCCCAATGAAGGCCACAACGAGGTCCTAATATCCACTTGCAGATTCTACAAAAAGAGTGTTAAAAAACTGCTCTATCAAAAGGATTGTTCAACTCTGTGAGTTGAATGCAAACATCACAAAGTAGTTTCTGAGAATGCTTCTGTGTAGTTTTATACGAAGATACTTCCTTTTCTACCAAGGGCCCCAAATCGTGCTAAATATCCACTTGCAAATTCTACAAAAAGAGTGTTTCCAAACTGCTCTATCAAAAGGAAGGTTCAACTGTGTGTTGAGTGCAGATATCACAAGGAAGTTTCTGAGAATACCTCTGTCTACTTTTTATGTGAAGATACTCCCATTTCCAAAGAAGGCCTCCAAGGGCTCCAAATATCCACTTTCAGACTTCACAAACAGACTGTTTCCAAACTGCTCTATCAAAAGCTTTGAACGTCACATCACAAGGCAGTTTATCAGAATGATTACGTCTAGTTATTATATGAAGATATTTCCTTTTCTTCCATAGGCCTCAAAGCGTTCTAAATATCCACCTGCAAATTCTACAAAAAGATTTTTTCAAAACTGCTCTATCAAAAGAAAAGTCAAATTCGTGAGTTGAATGCACACATCACCAAGTAGTTTCTGAGAAAGATTCTGTCTAGTTTTTATATGAAGATATTTCCTTTTCTACCATAGGCATAAAAGCGCCTTAAATAACCACTTGGAAAATCTACAAAAAGAGTGTTTCAAAACTGCTCTACTGAAAGGAACGTTCAACTCAGTGAGATGAATGCACACATCACAAAGAAGCTTCTGAGAATTCTTCTGTCAAGTTTTTTTGTGCACAAATACCCGGTCACAACGAAGGCCTCAAAGAGATCCAAATATCCACTTGCAGATTCTGCAAAAAGAGTGTTTCAAAACTGCTCTATCAAGAGGAATGTTCAACTCTGTGAGTTGAATGCAAACATCACAAAGTAGTTTCTGAGAATGCTTCTGTCTAGTTTTTATGGGAACATATTTCCGTTTCTACCATAGGCCTCAATGCGCTCTAAATACACACTTGCAAATTCTACAAAAATAGTGTTTAAAAACTGCTCTGTCAAAAGAAATGTTAAACTCACTGAGTTGAATGCACACATCACCAAGTAGTTTCTGAGAATGATTATGTCTAGTTTTTATATGAACATATTTCCTTTTCTACGATAGGCCTAAAATCGCCCTAAATATCCAATGGAAATTCAACAAAAAGAGTGTTTCAAAACTGCTCTATTGAAAGGAATGTTCAACTCTGTGAGTTGAATGCACAGATAACAAAGAAGCTTCTGAGAATCCTCCTGTCAAGTTTTTTTATGAAGAAATACCCGGTTCCAACAAAGGCCTCAAAGAGGTCAAAATATCCACTTGCAGATTCTACAAAAAGAGTGTTACAAAACTTCTTTACCAAATGAATATTCAACTCTCTGAGTTGACTGCAAACATCACAAAGTTGTTTCTGAGAATGCTTCTGTGTAGTTTTTCAATGAAAATATTTACTTTCCTACCATAAGCCCCAAAGCGCTCTAAATATCCACTTGCAAATTCTACAAAAAGAGTGTTTCAAAACTGCTCTATCAAAAGGAAGAGTTGAATTCGGTGAGTTGAATTCAGTGAGTTGAGTGCAGACATCAAAAAGAAGTTTCTGAGAATTCTTCTGTCTAGTTTTATATGAAGAAATCCCGTTTCCAACGAAGGCCTCGAAGAGGTCTAAATATGCACTTGTAGATTCTACAAAAAGAGAGTTTCAAAACTGCTCTATCAAGAGGAATATTCAACTCTGTGAGTTGAATGAAAACATCACAAAGTAGTTTCTGAGAATTCTTCTGTCTAGTTTTAATGTGAAGATATTTCCTTTCCTATGATAGGCCTCAAAGGGCACTAAATACACATTTGCAAATTCTACAAAAAGAGTGTTTTATAACCTATCAAAAGAAAAGTTAAACACAGTGAGTTGAATGCACACATCACCAGGTAGTTTCTGAGAATGACTCTGTTTAGATTTATATGAAGTTATTTTTTTCTACCACAGGATTCAAAGTGCTCTAAATATCCACTTGGAAATTCTACACAAAGAGTGTTTCAAAACTGCTTTATCAAAAGGAAGTTTCAACTCTGTGAGTGGAAAGCACACATCACAAAGAAGTTTCTGAGAATAATTCTGTCTAGTTTTAAATTAAGAAATCCCGTTTCCAACGAAGGCCTCAAAGAGGTCCAAATTTCGACTTACAGATTCTAAAAAAAGATTGTTTCAAAACTACTCCATCAAGAGGAATATCCAACTCTGTGAGTTGAATGCAAACATCACAAAGTAGTTTCTGGGAATGATTCTGTCTAGTTTTTATATGAAGATATTTCCTTTTCTACCATAGGATTCAAAGCGCTCTAAATATCAACTTGGAAATTTTACAAAAAGAGTGTTTCAAAACTGCTCTATCAAAAGGAAGGTTCACCTCTGTGAGTTAAGTACAGACATCACAAAGGAGTTTCTGAGAATACGTCTGTCTACTTTTTATGTGAAGATATTCCCGTTTCCAAAGAATACCTCAAAGCGCTCCAAATATCCAGATGCAGAGTTTACAAACTGAGTGCTTCAAAACTGCTCTCTCAAAAGAAAGGTTAAACTCTGTGAGTTGAACACACACATCACAAAGTAGTTCCTGGGAATGATTCTGTCTAGTTTTTATATGAAGATATTTCCATTTCTACCATAGGATTCAAAGCGCTCTACATATCCACTTGGAAATTTTACAAAAAGAGTGTTTCAAAATTACTCTATTGAAAGGAACGTTCAACACTTTGAGTTGAATGAACCCATCAAAAAGAAGCTTCTGAGAATTCCTCTATCTAGTTTTTTTATGAAGAAATCTCGTTTCCAACGAAGGCCTCAAAGAGGTCCGAATATGCACTTGCAGATTCTACAAAAAGAGTGCCTCAAAACTGCTCTATCAAGAGGAATGTTCAACTCTGTGAGTTGAATGCAAACATTACAAAGTAGTTTCTGAGAATGCATCTGTCTAGTTTTTATGTGAAGATATTTTCTTTTCTACCATAGGCCTAAAAGCGCCCTAAATATCCACGTGGAAATTCTACAAAAAGAGTGTTTCAAAACTGCTCTATCAAAAGGAAGGTTCAACTCTGTGACTTGAGTGCAGACATCACAAGGAAGTTTCTGACAATGATTCTTTCTAGTTTTCATATGAGGATATTTCCTTTTCAACCATAGGCCTAAAATCGCCTTAAATATCCAATTGGAAATTCTACAAAAATAGTGTTTCAAAACTGCTCTATTGAAAACAACGTTCAACTCTGTGAGTTAAATGCACACATCACAAAGAAGCTTCTGAGAATTCTTCTGTCTGGCTTTCTTATGAAAAAATACTCGCTTCCAACGAAGGCCTCAAAGAGGTCAAAATATCCACTTGCTGATCTTACAAAAAAAGTGTTACAAAACTGCTCTATCAAAAGGAATGTTCAACTCTCTAAGTTGAATGCAAACAAAACAAAGTATTTTCTGAGAATGCTTCTGTGTAGTTTTTCGACGAAGATATTTCCTTTTCTACCATAGGCCCCAAAGCCCTCTAAATATCCACTTGCAAATTCTACAAAAAGAGTGTTTCAAAACTCCTCTATCATAAGGAAGGTTCAAATCTGTGAGTTGAATGCGGACATCACAATTAAGTTTCTGAGAATAATTCTGTCTATTTTATGTGAAGATACTCCCGTTTCCAAAGAAGGCCTCAAAGCGCTCCAAATATCCACTTGCAGACTTTACAAACAGAGTGTTTCAAAACTGCTCTATCAAAAGAAAGGTTAAACTCTGTGAGTTGAAGGCACACATCACAAAGTAGTTTCTGAGAATTTTTCTGTCTAGTTTTTATATGAAGACATTTCCTTTTCTACCATAGGCCTCAAAGCGCTCTAAATATCCACTTGCAAACTCTACAAAAAGAGTGTTTCAAAACTGCTCTCTCAAAAGGAAGGTTCAACTCTGTGAGTTGAGTGCAGGCATCACAAGGAAGTTTCTGACAATGATTGTGTCTAGTTTTCATATGAAGATATTTCCTTTTCAACCATAGGCCTAAAATCGCCCTAAATATCCAATTGGAAATTCTACAAAAAGAGTGTTTCAAAACTGCTCTATTGAAAGCAACGCTTAACTCTGTGAGTTGAATGCAGACATCACAAAGAAGCTTCGGAGAATTCTTCTGTCTAGTTTTTTTATGAAGAAATACCCGTTTCCTACGAAGGCCTCAAAGAGATCAAACTGCACTTGCTGATCCTACAAAAAGAGTGTTACAAAACTGCTCTATCAAAAGGAATGTTCAACTCTGTGGGTTGAATGCAAACATCACAAAGTATTTTCTGAGAATGCTTCTGTGTAGTTTTTCTACGAAGATATTTCCTTTTCTACCATAGGCCCCAAAGCGCTCTAAGTATCCACTTGCAAATTCTACAAAAAGAGTGTTTCAAAACTGCTCTATCAAAAGGAAGGTTTTAATCTGTGAGTTAAGTGCAGACATCACAAGGAAGTTTCTGAGAATACTTCTGTCTACTTTTTATGTGAAGATACTCCCATTTCCAAAAAAGACCTCAAAGCGCTCCAAATATCCACTTGCAGATCCTACAAAAAGAGTGTTTCAAAACTGCTCTATCAAAACAAACGTTAAACTCTGTGAGTTGAAGGCACACATCACAAAGTAGTTTCTGAGAATGATTCTGTCTAGTTTTTATATGAAGATATTTCCTTTTCCACCATAGGCATCAAAGTGCTCTAAATATCTACTTGCAAACTCTACAAAACGAGTGTTTCAAAAGTGTTCTATCAAAAGGAAGTTTCACCTCTGTGAGTTGAGTACAGACATCACAAAGAAGTTTCTGAGAATATTTCTATCTAGTTATTTGTGAAGATATTTCCTTTTCTACCATATGCCGCAAAGCGCTCAAAATATCCCCTTGCTAACCCTTCAAAAAGATTGTTTCAAATCTGTGCTATCAAAAGGAAGGTTCACATTTGTGAGTTTAGTACAGATATCACAAAGCAGTTTCTGAGAATACTTCTGTCTACTTGTTATGTGAAGATATTCCCGTTTCCAAAGAAAACCTAAAAGCGCTCCAAATATCCAGATGCAGTCTTTACAAACAGACTGTTTCAAAACTGTTCTATCAAAAGAAAGGTTAAACTCTGTGAGTTGAACGCACACATCACAAAGTAGTTTCTGGGAGTTATTCTGTCTAGATTTTTATGAAGATATTTTTTTCTACCATATGATTCAAAGCGCTCTAAAAATCCACTTGGAAATTCTACAAAAAGAGTGATTCAAATCTGCTCCATCAAAAGGAAGGTTGAATTCTGTGAGTTGAATGCACACATTACAAAGAAGCTTCTGAGAATTCTTCTGTCTAGTTTTATATGAAGAAAACCCGTTTCCAACGAAGGCCTCAAAGAGGTCAAATATACACTTGCAGAACCTACAACAGAGTGTTTCAAAACTGCTCTATCAAGAGGAATTTTCAACTCCGTGAGTTGAATGCAGCAAACATCACAAAGTAGTTTCTGAGAATGCTTCTGTCTGGTTTTTATGTGAAGATATTACCTTTCCTACCATAGGCCTCAAAGCGCTCTAAATATCCACTTGCAAACTATACATAAAGAGTGTTTCAAAACTGCTCTATCTGGGAATGCTTCCGTGTAGTTTTATGGGAAGATATTTCCTTTTCTACCATAGGCCTCTAAACGCTCTAATTACACACTTGAAAATTCAACAGAAAGAGTGTTTTAAAACTGCTCTATCAAAAGAAAAGTTGTTCTCAGTGAGTCGAATGCACACATCATAAAGTAGTTACTGAATATGATTATGCATAGTTTTTATATGAAGATATTCCCTTTTCGACTATAGGCCTAAAAGCGCCCTAAATATCCACTTAGAAATTCTACAAAAAGAGTGTTTCAAAACTGCTCTATTGAAAGGAACGTTCAACTCTGTGAGTTGAATACACACATCACAAAGAAGCTTCTGAGAATTCCTCTGTCTACTTTTTTTCGAAGAAATAACCGGTTCCAACGAAGGCCTCAAAGAGGTCCAAATATCCACTTGTAGATTCTACAAAAAGAGTGTTACAAACTGCTCTACCAAAAGGAATGTTCATCTCTGTGAGTTGAATGCAAACATCACAGAGCAGTTTCTGACAATGATTCTGTCTAGTTTTTATATGAAGATATTTCCTTTTCTACCATAGGATTCAAAGCGCTCTAAACATCCACTTGGAAATTCTACAAAAAGAGTGTTTCAAATCTGCTCTATCAAAAGGAAGGTTACACTCTGTGAGTTGAATACAAACATCACAAAGAAGTTTCTGAGAATTCTTCTGTCTAGTTTTATATGAAGAAATCCTGTTTCCAATGAAGGCCTCAAAGAGGTCCATATATACACTTGCAGAAACTAAAAAAACAGTGTTTCAAAACTGCTCTATCAAGAGGAATGTTCAACTCTGCGAGTTGAATGCAAACATCACAAAGCAGTTTCTGAGAATGCTTCTGTCTAGTTTTTATGTGAAGATATTTCCTTTTCTACCATAGGCCTCAAAGTGCTCTAAATATCCACTTGCAAACACTACAAAAGGGTGTTACAAAACTGCACGATCAAATGAAGGTTCACCTCTGTGATTTGAGTACAGACATCACAAAGAAGTTTCTGAGAATAATTCTGTCTACTTTTTATGTGCAGATATTCCCGTTTCCAAAGAAAACTTCAAAGCGCTCCAAATATCCAGATGCACAGATTACAAACAGAGTGTTTCAAAACGGCTCTATCAAAAGAAAGGTTAAACTCTGTGATGTGAACGCACACATCACAAAGTAGCTTCTAGGAGTTATTCTGTCTAGATTTATATGAAGATAATTTTTTCTACCGTATGATTCTAAGTGCTCTAAATATCCACTTGGAAACTCTACAAAAATAGTGTTTCAAATCTGCTCTATTAAAAGGAAGATTCAACACTGTGAGTTTAATGCACACATCAAAAAGAAGTTTCTGAGAATTCTTGTGTCTAGTTTTATGTGAAGAAATCCCGTTTTCAGCGAAGGCCTCAAAGAAGTCCAAAAATCGACTTGCAGATTCTACAAAGGAGTGTTTCAAAACTGCTCTATCAAGAGTAATCAACTCAGTGAGTTGAATGCAGATATCACAATGTAGTTTCTGAGAATGCTTCTGTGTAGTTTTTGCACCAATATATTTCCTTTTCTACCATAGGCCGCAAAGTGCTCTAAATATCCTCTTGCAAATTCTACAAAAAGAGTATTGCAAAACTGCTCTATTGAAAGGAACGCCTAACGTCTACTCTGTGAGTTGAATGCACCCATCACAAAGAAGTTTCTGAGAATTCTTCTGCCTAGTTTTTTTATGAAGAAATTCCCGGTTCCAAAAAAGGCCGCAAAGAGGTCAAAGTATCCACTTGCACATTCTACAAAAAGAGTGTTACAAACTGCTCTATCAAGAGGAATCTTCAACTCTGTGAGTTGAATGTAACCATCACAAAGTAGTTTCTGAGAATGCTTCTGTGTAGTTCTTCTACGAACATATTTTCTTTTCTACCATAGGCCCCTAAGCGCTCTAAATATCCTCTTGCAAATTCTACAAAAAAAGTGTTTCGAAACTGCTCTATCTAAAGGAAGTTTCACCTGTGTGAGTAGAGTACAGACATCACAAAGAAGTTTCTGAGGATACTTCTGTCTACTTTTTATGTGAAGATATTCTCGTTTCCAAAGAAAACCTCAAAGCGTTACAAATATCCAGATGCAGACTTTACAAACAGAGTGTTTCAAAACTGCTCTTTCAAAAGAAAGGTTAAACTCTGTGAGTTGAACGCTCACAACACAAAGTAGTTTCTGGGAATGATTCTGTCTAGTTTTTATATGAAGATATTTCCTTTTCTACCGTAGGATTTAAAGTGCTCTAAATATCCACTTGGAAATACTACAAAAAGAGTGTTTCAAATCTGCTCTATCCAAAGAAAGGTTCAACTCTGTGAGTTGAATGCACACATCACAAAGAAGTTTCTGAGAATTCTTCTGTCTAGTTTTATATGAAGAAATCCCATTTCCAACGAAGGTCTCAAAGAGGTCCAATTATACACTTGAAGGTTGTATAAAAAGAGTGTTTCAAAACTGCTCTATCAAAAGGAAGGTTTACCTCTTTGAGTTGAGTACAGACATCATGAGGGAGTTTCTGAGAATTCTTCTGTCTAATTTTTATGTCAAGATAAACCCTTTTCCAAGGAAGACCTCAAAGCACTCCAAATATCCAGATGCAGACTTTACAAACAGAGTGTTTCGAAACTGCACTATCAAAAGAAATGTTAAACTGTGTGAGCTGAACGCACACATCAAAAAGTAGTTTTTGAGAATGATTCTGTCTAGTATTTATATGAAGATATTTCCTTTTCTACCTTAGGCCTCAAAGCGTTTTAAATATCCACTCGCAAACCCTGCAAAAAGATTGTTTCAAAACTGCTCTATCAAAAGGAAGGTTCACCTCTGTGACTTGAGTACAGACATCACAGAGAAGTTTCTGAGAATACTTCTGTCTACTTTTAATGTGAACATATTCTTGTTTCCAAAGAAAACCTCAAAGCGCTCCGAATATCCAGATGCAGAGATTACAAACAGAGGGTTTCAAAACTGCTCTATCAAAGGAAAGGTTAAACTCTGTGATTTGAACGCACACATCACAAAGTAGTTTCTGGGCGTTCTTCTGTCTAGTTTTATATGAAGATATTTTTTTTCAACCATATGATTCAAAGCGCTCTAAATATCCACTTGTAAATTCTACAAAAAGAGTGTTTCAAATCTGCTCCATCAAAAGGAAGGTTCAATTCTGTGAGTTGAATGCATACATCACAAAGTAGTTTCTGGGAATGATTCTGTCTAGTTTTTATATGAAGGTATTTCATTTTCTACCATAGGATTCAAAGCCCTCTAAATATTCACTTGGAAATTCTACAAAAAGAGTGTTTGAAATCTGCTCTATCAAAAGGAAGTTTCAACACTGTGAGTTGAATGCACACATCACAGAGAAGTTTCTGAGAAGTCTTCTGTCTAGTTTATATGAAGAAATCCTTTTTCCAAGGAAGGCCTCAAAGAGGTCCAAATATACACTTGCAGATCCCACTAAAAGAGTGTTTCAAAAATGCTCAATAGAGAGGAATGTTCAAATACGTGAGTTGAATGCAAACATCACAAAGTAGTTTCTGAGAATGCTTCTGACTAGTTTTTATGTGAAGATATTTCCTTTTCCACAATAGGCCTCAAATCGCTCTAAATATCCTCTTGCAAACTCTACAAAAAGAGTGTTTCAAAACTGCTCTGTCAAAAGGAACGTTCACCTTGGTGAGTTGAATACAGACATCACAAAAAGTTTCTAAGAATACGTCTATCTACTTTTTATGTGAAGATATTCCCGTTTCCATGAAAACCTCAATGCGCTCCAAATATCCAGATCCAGACTTTAAAAACAGAGTGTTTCCAAACTGCTCTGTCAAAAGAAAAGTTAAACTCTGTAAGTTGAACGCACACATCACAAATTAGTTTCTGGGAATGATTCTCTCTAGTTTTTATATGAAGATATTTCCTTTTCTCCCTTAGGATTCAAGGCGCTCTAAATATCCACTTGGAAATACTACAAAAAGAGAGTTTCAAATCTGCTCTATCAAAAGGGAGTTTCAACTATGTGAGTTGAATGCACACATCAAAAAGATGTTTCTGAGAATTCTTCTGACTAGTTTTTATATGAAGATATTTCCTTCTCTACGATAGGATTCAAAGCGTTCTAAATATCCACTTTGAAATTCTACAAAAAGAGTGTTTCAAATCTGCTCTATCAAAGGAAGGTTCAACTATGTGAGTTGAATGCACACATCAAAAAGAAGTTTCTGAGAATTCTTCAGACTAGTTTTACATGAAGAAAATCCGATTCCAAAGAAGGCCTCAATGAGGTCCAAGTATCCTATTTCAGATTCTTCAAAAAGAGTGTTTCAAAACTGCTCTATCAAGAGGAATGTTCAACTCTGTGAGTTGAATGCACACATCACAAAGTAGTTTCTGACAATGTTTCTCTGTAGTATTTATGTGAAGATATTTCTTTTCTACCATAGTTCTCAAAGCACTCTAAATTCACACTTGCAAATTCTACATAAAGACTGTTTCAAAACTGCTCTATCAAAAGAAAATTTAAACTCAGTGTGTTGAATGCACACATCAAAAAGTAGTTTCTGAGAATGATTCTGTCTAGTTTTTATATTAAAGTATTTCATTTTCTACCATAGGCCTCTAAGCACCCTAAATATCCACTTGGAAATTCTTCAAAAAGAGTGTTTCAAAACTGCTCTATCAAAAGGAAGGTTCACCGCTGTGAATTGAGTACAGACATCACAAAGAAGTTTCTGAGAATACTTCTGTGTACTTCTTATGTGAAGATATACCCGTTTCCAAAGAAAACCTCAAAGCGCTCCAATTATCCAGGTGCAGACTTTACAAACAGAGTGTTTCAAAACTGCTCTATCAAAAGAAAGTTTAAACTCCGTGATTTGAACAAACACATCACAAAGTAGTTTCTGGGAATGATTCTGTCCACTTTTTATATGAAGATATTTCATTTTCTACCATACGATTCAAAGCTCTCTAAATATCCACTTGGAAATACTTCAAAAAGAATATTTCGAATCTGCTCTATGAAAAGGAAGGTTTAACTTGGTGAGTTGAATGCACACATGACAAAGAATTTCCTGATAATTCTTCTGTCTAGTTTTATATGAAGAAATCCCGTTCCAATGAATGCCTCAAAGAGGTCCAAATATCCACTTGCATATCCTCCAAAAATGGTGTTTCAAAACTGCTCTATCAAGAGGAGTGTTCAACTCTGTGAGTTGAATGCAAACATCACAAAGCAGTTTCTGAGAATGCCTCTATCCAGTATTTATGAGAAGATATTTCCTTTTCTACCATAGCCCTCAAAGCGCTCTAAACACACATTTGCAAATTCTACAAAAGACTGTTTCAAAACTACTGTATCAAAAGAAAAGTTAAACTCAGTGAGTTGAATGCACAAATCACAAAATAGTTTCTGAGAATGATTCAGTCAAGTTTAATATGAAAATATTTCATTTTCTACCATAGGCCTCAAAGAGCTCTAAATATCCACGTGCAAAATCTACAAAAAGAGTGTTTCAAAACTGCCCTATCAAAAGGAGGGTTCACCTCTGTGAGTTGAGTACAGACATCACAAAAAAGTTTCTGAGAATACTTCTGTCTACTTTTTATGTGAAGATATTCCCGTTTCCAAAGAAAACCTCAAAGCGCTCCAAATATCCAGATGCAGACATTACAAACAGAGTGTTTCAAAACTGCTCTATCAAAGGAAAGTAAAACAACGTGAGTTGAACATACACATCACAAAGTAGTATCTGGGAGTTATTCTGTCTAGTTTTATATGAGGATACTTTTTTCAACCATATGATTCAGAACGCACTAAATATCCACTTGTAAATTCTACAAAAAGAGGGTTTCAAATCTGCTCCATCAAAAGGAAGGTTCAAATCAGTGAGTTAAATGCACACATCACAATGTAGTTTCTGGGAATGATTATGTCAAGTTTTTATATGAAGATATTTCATTTTCTACCATAGGATTCAAAGCCTTCTAAATACTCACTTGGAAATTCTACAAAAAGAGTGTTTGAAATCTGCTCTATCAAAAGGCAGGTTCAACTCTGTGAGTTGAATGCATGCATTACAAAGAAGTTTCTGAGAATTCTTCTGTCTAGTTTTATATGAAGAAATCTCGTTTCCAACGAAGGCCTCAAAGATGTACAAATATCCACTTGCAGATACTACGAAAAGAGTGTTTCAAAACTGTTCTATCAAGAACAGTTCAACTCTGTGAGTTGAATGCAAACAATAAAAAGTAGTTTCTGAGAATGCTTCTGTCTAGTTTTTATGTGAAGATATTTCCTTTTCTACCATAGACCTCAAAGTGCTCTAAATATCCACTTGCAAACTCTACAAAAAGAGTGTTTCAAAGTGCTCCAACAAAAGGAATTTTTAGCTCTCTGAGTTGAGTACAGATATCCCAAAGAAGTTTCTGAGAATAGTTCCATCTACTTTTTATGTGAAGATATTCCCATTTCATAAGAATACCTCAAAGCACTCCAAATATCCAGATGCAGACTTTTCACACCGAGGGTTTCAAAACTGCTCTATCAAAGAAAGGTTAAACCCTGTGAGTTGAACGCATACATCACAAAGTAGTTTCTGGGAATGATTCTGTCTAGTTTTTATATGAAGATATTTCCTTTTCTACCCAAGGATTCAAAGCACTCTAAATATCGACGTGGAAATACTACAAAAAGTGTTTTTCAAATCTGCTCTATCAAAAGGAAGGTTCAGCTCTGTGAGTGAACGCACGCCTCACAAAGAAGTTTCTGAGAATTCTTCCGTCTAGTTTTATGTGAAGAAATCCCATTTCCAATGAAGGTCTCAAAGAGGTCCAAATATCCACTTGCAGATTCTACAAAAAGAGTGTTTCAAAACTGCTCTATCAAGAAGAATGTTCAACTCTCTGAGTTGAATGCAAACATCACAAAGTAGTTTCTGAGAATGCTTCTGTCTAGTTTTTATGTGAAGATATTTCCTTATCTACCATGAGCCTCAAAGCGCTCTAAATATCCACTTGCAAAGTCTACAAGAAGAGTGTTTCAGAACTGCTCTATCAAAAGGAAGGTTCACCTCAGTGAGTTGAGTACAGACATCACAAAGATGTTTCTGAGAATACTTCTGTCTGCTTTTTATGTGAAGATATTCCCGTTTCCAATGAAACCCTCAAAGCGCTCCACATATCCAGATGCAGACTTACAAACAGAGAGTTTCAAAACTGCTCTATCAAAAGAAATGTAAATTCTTGGAGTTGAACGCACACAACACAAAGTAGTTTCTGGGAATGATTCTGTCTAGTTTTTACATGAAGATATTTCCTTTTCTACCATAGGATTCAAAGTGCTCTAAATATCCACTTGGAAATTCTACAAAAAGAGTGTTTCAAATCTGCACTATCAAAAGGAAGTTTCAACTCTGTGAGTTGAATGCACGAATCAGAAAGAAGTTTCTGACAATTCTTGTGTCTGGTTTTATTTGAAGAAATCCCGTTTCCAACGAAGGCCACAAAGAGGTCCAAATATCCACTTGCAGATTCTACAAAAAGAGTGTTTCAAAACTGCACTGTCAAGAGGAATGTTCAATTCTGTTAGTTGAATGCAAACATCACAAAGTAGTTTCTGAGAATGCTTCTGTCTAGTTTTATGTGAAGATATTTCCTTTTCTACCATAGGCCTCAAAGCTCTCTAAATACACACATGCAAACTCTACAAAAAAAGTGTTTCAAACTGCTCTATCAAAAGGAAGGTTCACCTCTGTGAGTTGAGTACAGACATCACAAAGACGTTTCTGAGAATACTTCTGTCTACTTTTTGTGTGAAGATATTTAAGTTTATAAAGAAAACCTCAAAGCGCTCCAAATATCAAGATGCAGAATTTTCAAACAGAGTGTTTCAAAACTGCTCTATCAAAGAAAGGTTAAACTCTGTGAGTTGAACACAAACATCACAAAGTAGCTTCTGGGAATCATTCTGTCTATTTTTTATATGAAGATATTTCCTTTTCTACCACAGGATTCAAAGCGCTCTAAATATCAACTTGCAAATTCTACAAAAAGAGTGTTTCAAATCTGCTCTATAAAAAGAAAGGTTAAACTCAGTGAGTTGAATGCACACATCACAAAATATTTTCTGAGAATGATTCTGTCTCATTTTTATATGAAGATATTTCCTTTTCTACCATAGTCCTTAAAGCGCTCTAAATATCCACTTGCAAATTCTACAAAAAGAGTGTTTCAAAACTGTTCTATCAAGAGGAATGTTCAACTCTGTGAGTTGAATGCAAACATCACTAAATAGTTTCTGAGAATGCTTCTGTCTAGTTTTTATGTTAAGATATTTCCTTTTCTACAATAGGCCTCAAAGTGCTCTAAATATCCACTTGCAAACTCTACAAAAAGAGTGTTTCAAAATACTCCGTCAAATGGAATTTTTACCTCTGTGAGTTGAGTACAGATATCCCAAAGAAGTTTCTGAGAATACATCTGTCTACTTTTTATGTGAAGATACTCCCGTTTCCAAAGAAAACCTCACAGCGCTCCAAATATCCAGATGCAGACATTACAAATTGAGTGTTTCAAAACTGCTCTATCAAAAGAAAGGTTAAACTCCGTGAGTTGAAGGCACACATCACAAAGTAGTTTCTGGGGATGCTTCTGTCTAGTTTTTATATGAAGATATTTCCTTTTCTACCATTGGATTCAAAGTGCTCTAAATATCCACTTGCAAATTCTTCAAAAAGAGAGTTGCAAATCTGCTCTATCAAAAGGAAGGTTCAACTCTGTGAGTTGAATGGACACATCACAAAGAAGTTTCTGAAAGTTCTTCTGTCTAATTTTACATGAAGAAATCCCGTTTCCAATGAAGGCCTCAAAGAGGTCAAAATATCCATTTGCAGATTCTATAAGAAGAGTGTTTCAAAACTGCTCTATCAAGAGAAATGTGCAACTCTGTGAGTTGAATGCAAACATCACAGAGTAGTTTCTGAGAATGCTTCTGTCTAGTTGTTATGTGAAGATATTTCCTTTTCTACCAAAGGCCTCAAAGCGCTCTAAATACACACTTGCAAATTCTAGAAAAAGAGTGTTTCAAAATTGCTCTATCAAAAGAAAGGTTAAACTCTGTGAGTTTAATGCACACATCACAAAGTAGTTTCTGAGAATGATTCTGTCTATTGTTTATATGAAGATATTTCCTTTTCTTCCATAGGCCTCAAAGGGCTCTTAATAAACAATCGCAAATTCTACAAAAAGAGTGTTTCAATACTGCTCCATCAAAAGGAAGGTTCAACTCTATGAGTTGAGTTCAGACATCAGAAAGAAGTTTCTGAGAATACTTCTGTCTACTTTTTATGTGAAGAAATTCCCGTCTCCAACGGAGGAATCAAAGACGTCCAAATATCCACTTGCAGATCATAGAAAAAAGGTGTTTCAAAACTGCTTTATCAAAAGGAATGTTGAACACTGTGAGTTGAACGCAAGCATCACAAATTAGTTTCTGAGAATGCTTCTGTCTAGTATTTATTTTAAGATATTTCCTTTTCTACCATAGGCCAAAAAGCCCTCTAAATACACACGTGCAAATTCTACAAAAAGAGCCTATCAAAACTGCTCTATCGAAAGGAATGTTCAACTCTGTGAGATGAGTGCAGGCATCACAAAGAAGTTTCTGAGAATATTTCTGTCTACCTTTTGTGTGAAGATACTCCAGTTTCCAAATAAGGACTCAAAGCGCTCCAAATATCTACTTGTAGCCTTTACCAACAGAGGGTTTCAAAACTGCTCTATCAAGACGAATGTTCAACACTGTGAGTTGACTGCAAACATCAAACGTAGTTTCTGACAATGCTACTGTCCAGTTTATATGTGCAGATATTTCCTTTTCTAACATAGGCCCCGAAGCGGTCTAAATATACACTTGCAAATTCCACAAAAAGAGTGTTTCTAAGGTGCTCTTTCAAAAGAATGTTTAAACTCTGTGAGTTGAATGCACCCATCACAAAGTAGTTTCTTAGAATGCTTCTGTGTAGTTTTTCTTTGAACATATTTCCTTTTCCATCATAGGCCACAAAGCACTCTAAATATCCACTTGCAAATTCTACAAAAGAGTGTTTCAAAACTGCTCTATCAAAAGGAAGGTTCAACTCTGTGAGTTGAGTGCAGACATCACATAGAAGTTTCTGAGAATACTACAGTTTACTTTTTATGTAGAGATACTCCCGTTTCCAAAGAAGGCCTCAAAGCACTCCAAATATCTACCTGCAGATTTTACAAACAGAGGGTTTCAAAACTTCTCTATCAAAAGAAAGGTTAAACTCTGTGAGTTGAACGCACACATCACAAAGTAGTTTCTGAGAATGCTTCTGTCTAGTTTTTATGTGAAGGTATTTCCTTTTCTACCATAGGACTCAAAGCACACTAAGTATACAATTGCAAATTCTACAAAAAGAGTGTTTCAAAACTGCTCTTTCAAAAGAAAGGTCAAACACTGTGAGTTGAACACACACATCAAAAATTAGCTTCTGAGAATCATTCTGCCTAGTTTTTCTATGAAAATATTCCTTTTCTACCATAGGCCTCAAACCGCTCTATATATCGTCTAGAAAATTCTACAAAAAGAGTGTTTCAAAACTGCTCTATCGAAAGGAATGTTCAACGCTGTGAATTGAGTGCACACATCAAAAGTAGTTTCTGACAATGCTACTGTCCAGTTTTTACGTGCAGATATTTCCTTTTATAACATAGGCCTTGAAGCGGTCTAAATATACACTTGCAAATTCCACAAAAAGAGTGTTTCTAAGCTGCTCTATCAAAAGAATGTTTAAACTCTGTGAGTTGAATGCACCCATCACAAAGAAGTTTCTTAGAATGCTTCTCACAGAAGCATTCCTTTGAACATATTTCCTTTTCCTTTGAACATATTTCCTTTTCCACCATAGGACGCAAAGCGCTCTAAATATCCACTTGCAAATTCTACAAGGGCGCGTTTCAAAACTGCTCTATCAAAAAGAAAGTTCAACTCCGTGAGCTGAGTGCAGACATCACAAAGAAGTTTCTGAGACTACTTCTGTCTACTTTTTATGTGCAGATACTCCCGTTTCCAAATAAGGCCTCAAAGCGCTCCAAATATCTACTTGCAGACTTTACAAAGAAAGGGTTTCAAAACTGCTGTATCAAAAGAAAGGTTAAACTCTGTGAATTTAACGCACACATCACAAAGTAGTTTATGAGAATGATTCTGTGTAGTATTTATGTGAAGATATTTCCTTTTCTTCCATAGGCATCAAAGGGCTCTTAATAAACAATTGCAAATTCTACAAAAAGAGTGTTTCAATACTGCTCCATCAAAAGGAACGTTCAACTCTGTGAGTTGAGTGCAGACATCAGAAAGAAGTTTCTGAGAATACTTCTGTCTACTTTTTATGTGAAGAAATTCCCGTTTCTAACGAAGGAATCAAAGAGGTCCAAATATCCACTTGCAGATCCTAAAAAAAGGTGTTTCAAAACTGCTCTATCAAAAGGAATGTTGAACACTGTGAGTTCAATGCAAGCATCACAAATTGTATTCTCAGAATGCTTCTGTCTAGTTTTAATATGAAGATATTTTCTTTTCTATCACAGGCCTAAAATCCCCCTAAATACACACTTGCAAATTCTAAAAAAAGAGCCTTTCAAAACTGCTCTATCAAATGGAAGGTTCAACTCTGTGAGATGAGTGCAGACATCACAAAGAAGTTTCTGAGAATACTTCCGTCTATTTTTATGTGAAGATACTCGAGTTTCTAAATTAGTCCTCAAAGCGCTCTAAATATCTACTTGAAGCCTTTACCAACAGAGGGTTTCAAAACTGCTTTATCAAAAGAAAGGTTAAACTATGTGAGTTGAATGCACACATCACAAAATAGTTTCTGATAATGCTTCTGTCTAGTTTTTATGTGAAGGTATTTCCTTTTCTACCATAGGACTCAAAGCACAATAAGTATACACTTGCAAATTCTACAAAAAGAGTGTTTCAAAACTGCTCTATCGAAAGAAAGGTTAAACACTGTGAGTTGAACCCACACATCACAAATTAGTTTCTGAGAATCATTCTGCCTAGTTTTTCTATGAAGATATTTCCGTTTCTACCATAGGCCTCAAACCGCTCTATATATCCACTAGGAAATTCTACAAAAAGAGTGTTTCATAACTGCTCATTCGAAATGTAGGTTCAACTCTGTGAGTTGAGTGCACACATCACAAAGAAGTTTCTGAGAATTCTCCTGTCTAGTTTTACATGAAGAAATCCCGTTTCCAAAGATGGCCTCAAAAAGGTCCAAATATTCACTTGCAGATTCTACAAAAAGAGGGTTTCAAAACTGCTCTAACAAGAGGAATGTTCAACTCTGTGAGTTGATTGCAAACATCAAAAGTAGTTTCTGACAATGCTACTGTCCAGTTTTTATGTGCAGATATTTCCTTTTCTAACATAGGCCTCGAAGCGGTTGAAATATACACTAGCAAATTGAACAAAAAGAGTGTTTCTAATCTGCTCTATCAAAAGAATGTTTAAACTCTTTGAGTTGAACGCACCCGTCACAAAGTAGTTTCTTAGAATGCTTCTGTGTAGTTTTCCTTTGAACATATTTCCTTTTCCACCATGGGCCACAAAGCGCTCTAAATATCCACATGCAAATTCTACAAAAGAGTGTTTCAAAACTGCTCTATCAAAAGGAAGGTTCAATTCTGTGAGTTGAGTGCAGACATCAAAAAGAAGTTTCTGAGAATACTACAGTTTACTTTTTATGTGGAGATACTCCCGCTTTCAAAGAAGGCCACAAAGCACTCCAAATATCTACTTGCAGATTTTACAGAGGGTTTCAAAACTGCTCTATCAAAACAAAGGTTAAACTCTGTGAGTTGAACGCGCACACATCAGAAGGTAGTTTCTGAGAATGATTCTGTCTAGCATTCATGTGAAGATATTTCCTCTTCTTCCATAGGCCTCAAATCGCTCTAAATATCCACTTGGAAATACTACAAGAAGATTGTTTCAAAACTGCTCTATGGAAAGGAGGGTTCAAATCTGTGATTTGAATGCAGACATCACAAAAAAGTTTCCGAGAATTCTTCTGTCTAGTTTTATATGAAGAAATCCCGTTTACAACGAAGGCCTCAAAGAGGTCCAAATATCCTCTTGCAGATTCTACAAAAAGAGTGTACAAAAACTGCTCTATCAAGAGGAATGTTCAACTCAGTTTGTTGAATGCAAACATCACGAAGTAGTTTCTGACAATGCTTCTGTCTAGTTTTTATGTGAAGATATTCCCTTTTCTACCTTAGGCCTCAAATCACTCTAAATATCCACTTGCAAATTCTACGAAAAGAGTGTTTCAATACCGCTCTATCAAAAGAAAAGTTAAACTCTTTGAATAGAACGCACGCATCACGAAGTAGTTTCTGCGAATCATTCTGCCTAGTAGGACTCAAAGCGCTCTAAATATCCACTTGGAATTTCTACAAAAAGAGTGTTTCAAAACTGCTCTATGGAAAGGAAGGTTCATCTCTTTGAGTTGAATGCGCACATCACAAAAAAAGTTTCTGAGAAATGTTCTGTCTAGTTTTATATGAAGAAACCCCGTTTCCAACGAAGGACTCAAAGAGGTCTAAATATCCTCTTGCAGATGCTACAAAAAGTGTGTTTCAAAACTGCTCTATCAAGAGGAATGTTCAACTCTGTGAGGTGAATGCAAACATCACAAAGTAGTTTCTGAGAATGCTTCTGTCTAGTTTTTATGGGAAGATACAGCCTTTTCAACCATAGGCCTCAAACCGCTGTAAATATCCACTTGGAAATACTTCAGGAATAGTGTTTCAAAACTGCTCTATTGAAAGGAAGGTTTAACTCTGTGAGTTGAACGCACACATAACAAAGAAGTTTCTGAGAATTCTTCCGTCAATTTTTATATGAAGAAATCCGGTTTCCAACGAATATCTCAAAAACGTCCAAATATTCCCTTGCAGATTGTACAAAAAGAGTGTTTCAAAACTGCTCTATGAAGAGGAATGTTCAGCTCTTTTAGTTGAATGCAAACATCACAAATTAGTTTCTGAGAGTGCTTCTGTCTAGTTTTAATGTGATGATATTTCCTTTTCTTCAAAAGGCCTCAAAGTGCTGTATATATAAACTTGCAAATTCTGCAAAAAGAGCGTTTCAAAACTGCTCTATCAATAGAAATTTTAAACTATGTGAGTTGGAAGCACACATTACAAAATAGTTACTGAGAATTCTTCTATCTAGTTTTATATGAAGAAATCCCTTTTCCAAAGAATGCATTAAAGAGGTCAAAATATCCAGTTGCAGAGTCTACAAAAAGAGTGTTTCACAACTGCTCTATCAAGAGGAATGTTCAACTCTGTGAGTTGAACGCAAACAACACAAAGTAGTTTCTGAGAATGCTTCTGTCTAATTTTTATATGAAGATATTACCTTTTCTACTATAGGACTGAAAGCCATCTAAATACACACTTGCAAATTCCACAAAAAGAGCATTTCAAAGCTGCTCTATCAAAAGAAAGTTTAAACTCTGCAAGTTTAATGCACACATCACAAAGTAGTTTCTGAGACTGATTCTGTCTTGTTTTTCTATGAAGATATTTCCTTTTCTACCATAGGCCTCCAAGCACTCTAAATATTGACTTGGAAATTGTACAATAAGAGTGTTTCAAAACTGCTCTAACAAAAGGAAAGCTCAAATGTGTAAGTTCAATGCACACATCACAAAGAAGTTTCTGAGAATTCTTCTGTCTAGTTTTATATGAGGAAATCCAGTTTCCAACGAAGGCCTCAAATAGGTCCAAATATCCACTTGCAGATTCTACAAAAAGAGTGTTTCGAAACTGCTCTATCAAGAGAAATGTTCAACTCCGTGGGTTGAATGTATATATCACAAAATAGTTTCTGAGAATGCTTCTGTCTAGTTTTTTTGTGAAGATATATCCTTTTCTTCCATAGGCCTCAAAGCACTCTAAATATACACTTGCAAATTCTACAAAAAGAGCTTTTCAAAACTGCTCTATCAATAGAAAGTTTAAACTCTGTGAGTTGAACGCACACATCACAATGTAGTTTCTGAGAATCATTCTGTCTAGTTTTTCTATGAAGATATTACCTTTTCTACCATAGGACTCAAACCGAAATAAATATCCACTTGCAAATTCTACAAAATGAGTGTTTGAAAACTGCTCTATCGAAAGGAAAGTTCAACACTGTGATTTGAATGCACACATCACAAAGAAGCTACTGAGAATTCCTCTGTCTTGTTTTACATGAAGAAATCCCGTTTCAAACGAAGGCCTCAAACAAGTACAAATATCCCGTTGCAGACTCTTCAAAAAGAGTGTTTAAAAACTGTTCTATGAAGAGGAATGTTCAGCTCTGGGAGTTGAATGCAAACATCAGAAAGTAGTTTCTGAGAATGCTTCTTCTAGTTTTTATGTGACGATATTCCCTTTTCTACAATAGACCTCAAAGCACTGTAAATATAGACTTGCAAATTCTTCAAAAAGAGCGTTTGAAAACTGCTCTACAAATACAAAGTTTAAACTCTGTGAGTTCAACGCGCACATCACAAAATAGTTTCTGAGAATTCTTCTGTCTAGTTTTATATGAAGAAATCCCGTTTCCAATGAAGGCCTTAAGGAGGTCCTCATATCAACTTGCTGTTACTACGAAAAGAGTGTTTCAAAACTGCTCTATCAAGAGGAATGTTCAACTCTGTGAGTTGAATGCAAACATCACAAAGCAGTTTCTGAGAATGATTCTGTCTAGTTTTTATATGAAGATATTTAGTTTTCTAACATAAGCCACAAATCCCTCTAAATACACACTGGCAAATTCTACAAAAAGA
Organism: Homo sapiens; assembly: GCF_000001405.40. Classification (NCBI taxonomy): domain Eukaryota; kingdom Metazoa; phylum Chordata; class Mammalia; order Primates; family Hominidae; genus Homo; species Homo sapiens. The sequence goes on from NC_000003.12 coordinate 90,507,173, forward strand.
GCTTTTCAAAACTGCTCCCTCAAAAGAAAGGTTAAACTCCGGCCGGGCGCGGTGGCTCACGCCGGTAATCCCAGTATTTGGGAGGCCGAGGCGGGCAGATCACGAGGTCAGGAGATCGAGACCATCCCGGCTAAAACGGTGAAACCCCGTCTCTACTAAAAATACAAAAAATTAGCCGGGCGTAGTGGCGGGCGCCTGTAGTCCCAGCTACTTGGGAGGCTGAGGCAGGAGAATGGCGTGAATCTGGGAGGCGGAGCTTGCAGTGAGCCGAGATCCCGCCACTGCACTCCAGCCTGGGCGACAGAGCGAGAATCTGTCTCAAAAAAAAAAAAAAAAAAAAAAAAAAAAAAAAGAAAGGTTAAACTCGGCTAGTTAAACGCATACATCACAAAGTAGTTTCTGAGAATGATTCTGTCTAGTTTTTGTATGAAGATATTTCCTTTTCTACCATAGGCTTCCAAGAGCTCTAAATATTCCCTTGGAAATTGTACAAAAAGAGTGTTTCAAAACTGCTCTGTCGAAAGGAAGTTTCAACACTGTGAGTTCAATGCACACATCACAAAGAAGTTTCTGAGAATTCTTCTATGTAGTTTTATATGAAGAAACCCCGTTTCCAATGAAGGCCTCAAAGAGTTCCAAATATCCACTTGCAGATTTCACAAAAAGAGTGTTTCAAAACTGATCTATCAAGAGGAATATTCAACTCGGTGAGTTGAATGCAAATATCAAAAAGTAGTTTCCGACAATGGTTCTGTCTAGTCTAGTTTTTATGTGAAGATATTTTCTTTTCTACCATAGGCCTCCAAGCGCTCTAATTATACACTTGCAAATTACACAAAAAGAGTGTTTCAAAACTGCTCTATCAAAAGAAAGGTTAAACTCTGTAAGCTGAATGTACACATCACAAAGAAGTATCTGAGAATGATTCTGTCTAGTTTTTCTAAGAAGATATTTCCTTTTCTACCATAGGTCTCAAGACATTATAAATGTACACTTGCAAATTCTACGTAAAGAGTGTTTCAAAACAGCTATATCAAAAGAAATTTAAGCACTGTGAGTCGAACGCACACATCACAAAGTAGTTTCTGAGAATCATTCTGTCTAGTTTTTCTATGAAGATATTTCCTTTTTTACCATAGGACTCAAAATGATGTAAATATCCACTAGGAAATTCTAAAAAATGAGGGTTCCAAAACTGCTCTATGGAAAGGAAGATTCAACTCTGTGAGTTGAAAGCACATTTCACATAAAACTTTCTGAGAATTCTTCTGTCTTTTTTTATATGACGAAATCTCGTTTCCAACGAAGGCCTCAGGGAGGTCCAAATACCTTCTTGCAGATTCTCTAAAAAGAGGGTTTCAAAACTGCTCTATCAAGTGGACTGTTCAACTCTGTAAGTTGAATGCAAACATCACAAAGTAGTTTCTGAGATTGCTTCTGTCTAGTATTTATCTGAAGATTTTTCCTTTTCTACCATAGGCCTCAAAGCACTATAAATGTACACTTGCAAATTCTATGTAAAGAGTGTTTCAAAACTGCTCTATCAAAAGAAAGTTTAAACTCTGTGAGTTGAACACACCCATGAAAATGTAGTTTCCGAGAATTCTACTGTCTTGTTTATATGAAGAAATACCTTTTCCAACGAAGGCCTCAAAGAGGTCCAAATATCCACTTGCAGATAGTACAAAAATTGTGTTTAAAAGCTGCTGTATCAAGAGGAATATTCAACTCTGTGAGGTGAATGCAAACATTACAAAGTAGTTTCTGAGCATGCTTCTGTATTGTTTTATGTGAAGATATTTCCTTTTCTACCATAGGCCCCAAAGCACTCTAAATATACACTTGCAAAGTGTACAAAAAGAGTGTTTCAAAACTGCTCTATCAAAAGAAAGGTTAAACTCTGTGAGTTGAAAGCACACATCACATAGTAGTTTCTGAGAATGATTCCGTCTAATTTTTATATGAAGATATTTTCTTTTCTACTGTTGGCCTCAAAGCTCTCTAAATATACAATTGCAAATTTTACAAAAAGAGTGTTCCAAAACTGCTCTATGAAAAGAAAGGTTAAACTCTGTGAGTTGAACGCACACATCACAAAGTAGCTTCTGAGAATAATTCTGTGTAGTTTTAATATGAAGATATTTCCTTTTCTACCGTAGGCTTTGAAAAGAGCTCTAAATATCCACGTGGAAATTCTACAAAAAGTGTATCAAACTGCACTATCGAAAGGAAGGTTCAACTCTGTGAGTTGAAGGCACAAGTCACAAATCTTTCTGAGAATTCTTCTGTCTAATTTTTATGTGAAGAAATTACCGTTACCAGAGAAGGCCTCAAAGAGGTCCAAATATCCACTTGCAGATTCTACAAAAAGAGTGTTTCAAAACTGATCTATCAAAGGGAAGGTTGAACTCTGTGAGTTGAATGAAAACATCACAAAGTAGTTTCTGAGAATGCTTCTGTCTAGTTTTTATATGAAGATATTTCCTTTTCTACCGTAGGCCTAAAAGCCCTCTAAATACACGCTTACAAATGCTACAAAAAGAGCGTTTCAAAACTACTCTATTAACAGGAGGGTTAAACTCTGCGTATAGAACGCACAAACCACAAAGTAGTTTCTGAGAATGATTCTGGCTAGTTTCTCCATGAAGAAATTTCCTTTTCTACCACAGGCCACAAACCGCTCTAAATATCCACTTGGAATTTGCACAAAAAGATTATTTCACAACTGCTCTATCAAAAGGAAGGTTCAACTCTGTGAGGTGAAAGCACACATCACAAAGAAGTTTCTGAGAATTTCTCTGTCAAGTTCTATATGAAGAAATCCCGTTTCCAATGAAGGCCTCCAAAAAGCCCAAATATTCACTTGCAGATTCTACAAAAAGAGTGTTTCAAAACTGCTCTATCAAAAGAAATTTTAAACTCTGTGAGTTGAATGCACACATCAAAAAGTAGTTTCTGAGAATCATTCTCTCTAGTTTTTCTAAGAAGATATTTCGTTTTGTACCACAGGCCTCAATCCGCTCTAAATAACCACTTGGAAATTCTACAGAAAGAGAGTTTCAAAACTGCTCTATCGAAAGGAAGGTTCAACTCTGTGAGTTGAAAGCACACATCACAAAGAAGTTTCTGAGAATTCTTCTGTCTAGTTTTATATGAAGAAATCACGTTTCACACGAAGGCCACAAAGAGGTCAAAATATCCACTTGCAGATTTTACAAAAAGAGTGTTTCAAAACTGCTCTATCAAAAGAATGGTTAAACACTTTAATCTGAATGCACACATCACAAAGTAGTTTGTGAGAATAATTCTGTCTAATTTTTCTATGAAGATATTGCCTTTAATATCTTAGGCCTCAAAGGGCGCAAAATTTCCACTTGGAAATTCTACAAAAAGAGTATTTCAAAACTGCTTTATTGAAAGGAAGGTTCAACTGTGTGAATTGAATGCACACATCACAAAGAAGTTTCTGAGAGTTCTTCTGTCACGTTTTATATCAAGAAATCACGTTTCAAACGAAGGCCACAAAGAAGTCCAAATATCCAGTTGCAGATTCTATAAAAAGAGTGTTTCAAAACTGCTCTATCAAGACGAATGTTCAACTCTATGAGTTGAATGCAAATATCACAAAGCAGTTTCTGAGAATGATTCTGTCTAGATTTCTATGAAGATATTTCCCTTTCCACAAGAGGCCTCAAACAGTTCTTAATATCCACTTGGAAATTCTACAAAAAGAGTATTTCAAAACTGCTCTATTGAAAAGAATGTTCAACTCTGTGAGTAGAATGCCCACATGACAAAGGAGTTTCTGACAATGCTTCTATCTGTTTTTATGTGAAGGTATTTCCTTTTCTACTGTAGGCCTCAAAATACTCTAAATATACACTTGCAAATTACACAAAAGGAGGGTTTCAAAACTGCTCTATCAAAAGAAAGGTTAAACTCTGTAAGCTGAATGCACACAACACAAAATAGTTTCTGGGAATGATTTTGTCTAGTTTTTCTATGAAGATATTTCCTTTTCTACCAGAGTCCTCAAACCGCTCTAAATATCCACTTGGAAATTCTACAAAAAGAGTATTTCAAAACTGCTCTACAGAAAGGAAGGTTCAACTCTGTGAGTTGAATGCAAACATCACAAAGAAGATTCTGAGAGTTCTTCTGTCAGGTTTTATATGAAGTAATCCCGTTTCCAACGAAGCCCTATAAAAATTCCAAATATTCACTTGCAGATTCTACAAAAAGAGTGTTTCAAAACTGATCTATCAAAAGAAAGCTTAAACTTTGTGAGTTGAACGCACACATCACAAAGTAGTTTCTGAGAATCATTCTGTCTAGTTTTTCTATGAAGATATTGCCTTTTCTACCATATGCCTCAAACGGCGCTAAATATCCACTTGGAAATAGTACAAAAGGAGAGTTTCAAAACTGCTCTATCAAAATTAAAGTTCAACTCCAGGAGCTCAAAGCACACATCGCAAAGAAGTTTCTGAGAATTCTTCTGTCTAGTTTTATATAAATAAACCTCTTTTCAAACGAAGGACACAAAGAGGTCCAAATATAAACTTGCGGATTCTACAAAAAGAGTGTTTCAAAACTGCTCTATCAAGAGGAATGTTCAACTCGGTGAGTTGTATGCAAGTATCACAAAGTAGTTTCTGACAATGCTTCTGTCTAGTTTTAATGCGAAGATATTTCCTTTTCTAACATAGGCCTCAAAGCGCTGTAAATATGCACTTCCAAATTGCACAAAAAGTTTGTTCCAAAACTACTCTGTCAAAAGAAAGGTTAAACTCTGTAAGCGGAATGCACACATCACAAAGTAGTATCTGAGAATGATTCCGATCAGTTTTTCTATGAAGATATTTCCTTTTCTACCACAGACCTGAAATCACTGTAAATATGCACTTGGAAATTCTACAAAAAGAGTATTTCAAGACTGCTCTATCGAAAGGAAGGTTCAACACTTTGAGTTGAATGCACACAACACAAAGAAGTTTCTGAGAATTTTTCTGTCACGTTTTACATGAAGAAATCACGTTTCAAACGAAGACCACAGGGAGTTCCAAATATCCACTTGCGGAAACTGCAAAAAGAGGGCTTCAAAACTGCTCTATCAAGAAGAATGTTCAACTCTGTGAGTTAAATGCATATATCACAAAATAGTTTCTGACAAGCTTTCTGTCTAGTTTTTATGTGAAGAGATTTCCTTTTCTGCCGTAGGCCTCAAAACGATCTAAATATACCCTTGCAAATACCACAAAAACACTGTTTCAGAACTGCTCTATCAAAAGAAAGGTTAAACTCTGTAAGCTGAACGCACACTTCACAAAGTAGTTTCTGAGAATCATTCTGCCTTATTTTTCTATGAAGATATTGCCTTTTCTACCATTGGTTTGAAATAGCGCTAAATATCCAGTTGGAAATTATTCTACAAAAAGAGAGTTTCAAAACTGCTCTATCGAAAAGAAGGTTCAACTCTGTGAGTTGAAAGCACACATAACAAAGAAGTTTCTGAGAATTCTTCTGTCTAGATTTATATGAAGAAACCACGTTTCAAAATAATGCCACAAAGAGGTCTAAATATCCACTTGCAGATTCCACAAAAAGAGTGTTTCAAAACTGCTCTATCAAGTGGAATGCTCAACTCTGTGAGTTGAATGCAAATATCAAAAAGTAGTTTCAGACAATGCATCTGTATAGTTTTTATGTGAAGATGTTTAATTTTCTACAGCAGTTCTCAAAGCACTTTAAATAAACTCTTGCAAATTACCCAAAAAGAGTGTTTCAAAACTGCTCTAATCAAAAGAAAGGTTAAACTCTGTAAGCTGAATACGCACATCACAAAGTAGTTTCTGAGAAAGATTCAATCTACTTTTTCTATGAATATATTTCCTATTCTATCACAGGCCTCAAACCGCTCTAAATATCCACTTGGATATTCTACAAAAAGAGTATTTCAAAACTGCTCTATCGAAAGGAAGGTTCAACTCTGTGAGTTGAATGCACACATCACACAGAAGTTTCTGAGAATTCTTCGGTCAAGTTTGATATGAAGAAATCCCTTTGCCAAAGAAGTCCTCAAAAAATTTCAAATATTCACTTGCAGATTCTACAAAAAGAGTGTTTCAAAACTGCTCTATCAAAAGAAAGGTTAAACTCTGTGAGTTGAACGCACACATCACAAAGTATTTTCTTAGAATCTTTCTGTCTAGTTTTTCTGTGAAGATGTTGCGTTTTATACCGTAGGGTTCAAACGGCACTCAATATCCACTTGGAAATTCTACAAAAAGAGAGTTTCAAAACTGCTCTATTGAAATGAAGGTTCAACTCTGTGAGTTGAAAGCACACATCACAAAGAGGTTTCTGAGAATTCTTCTGTCTAGTTTTATATGAAGAAATTACATTTCAAACGAAGGCCACAGAGAGTTCCAAATATCCACTTGCAGACTCTACAAAAAGAGTGTTTCAAAACTGCTCTATCTAGAGAAATGTTCAACTCGGTGAGTTGAATGCAAATATCACAAAGTTGTTTCTGACAATGCTTCTGTCTAGTTTTCATGTGAAGATATTCCCTTTTCTAACATAGGCCTCAAAGCGCTCTAAATAGACAGTTGCAAATTCCACAAAAAGAGTGTTTCAAAACTGCTCTATCAAAAGAAAGTTCAAACACTGAAAGCTGAATGCGCACATCACAATGTACTTTCTGAGAATGATTCTCTCTAGTTTTTCTATGAAGATATTTCCATTTCTACCATAGGCCTCGAACCGCTCTAATTCTCCAATTGGAAATTCTATAAAAAGAGTACTTCAAAACTGCTCTATCAAAAGGAAGGTTGAACACTGTGAATTGAATGCACACATCACAAAGAAGTTTCTGAGAATTCTTCTGTCCACTTTTATATGAAGAAATCCCCTTTCCAACGTAGTTCTCAATAACGTCCAAATATTCACTTGCAGATTCTACAAAAAGAGTATTTCAAAACTGCTCTATCAAAAGAAAGGTTAAATTCCGTGAGTTGAACGCTCATACCTTAGGCCTCAAAGGGCGCTAAATATCGACTTGAAAATTCTAAAAAAGAGAGTTTCAAAACTTCTGTATAGAAAGGAAGGTTCAACTCTCTGAGTTCAATGCACACATCACAAAGAAGTTTCTGAGAATTCTTCTGTCTAGTTTTATATGAAGAAATCTCGTTTAAAACGAAGGCCACAAAGAGGTTCAAATATCCAATTGGAGACTCCTCAAAAAGAGGATTTCAAAACTGCTCTATCAAGAGCAATGTTCAACTCTGTGGGTTGAATGCAAATATCACAAAGTAGTTTCTGACAATCCTTCTGTCTAGTTTTTATGTGAAGATATTTCCTTTTCGACCATAGGCCTCAAAGCACTCTAAATATTTGCACTTGCAAATTCCACAAATGTAGTGTTTCAAAACTGCTCTATCAAAAGAAAATTTAAACTCTGTGAGTTGAATGCACACATCACAAAGTAGATTCTGAGAATCATTCTGTCTAGTTTTTCTATGAAGATATTGCATTTTCTTCCATAGGCCACAAACGGTGCTAAATATCCACTTGGAAACACTACAAAAAGAGAGTTTCAAAACTCCTCTATCGAAAGGAAGGTTCAACTCTGTGAGTTGAAAGCACACATCACAAAGAAGTTTCTGAGAATTCTTCTGTCTAGTTGTAAATGAAGAAATCACGTTTCACACGAAGGCCACAAAGAGGTCCAAATATCCACTTGCAGATTCAACAAAAAGAGTTTTTCAAAACTGCTCCACCAAGAGGAATATTCAACTCTGAGAGTTGAAGGCAGGTATCACAAAGTAGTTTCCGACAATGCTTCTGTCTAGATTTTATGTGAAGACATTCCCTTTTGTACCACAGGCCTGAAAGCACTCTAAATATAGAATTGCAAATTCCACAAAAAGAGTATTTAAAGCCGCTCGATCCAAAGAAAGGTTAAACTCTGTCAGCTGAAGGCGCACATCACAAAGTAGCTTCAGAGAACAATTATGTCTAGTTTTTCTGTGAAGATATTTTCTCTTCTACATAGGCCTGAAACCGCTCTAAATATTCACTTGGAAATTCTACAAAAAGAATATTTCAACACTCCTCTATCAAAAGGAAGGCTGAACTCTGAGAGTTAAATGCACACATCACAAAGAAGTTTCTGAGAATTCTTCTGTCAAGGTTTCTATGAAGAAATCCCGTTTCCAATGAAGGCCTCAAAAAAGTCCAAATATTTACTTGCAGATTCTACAAAAAGAGTGTTTCATAACTGGTCTATCAAAAGAAAGGTTAAACTCAGTGAGTTGAACCCACACATCACAAAGTAGTTTCTGAGAATCATTCTGTCTAGTTTTTCTACGAAGATATTTCCTTTTCTACCGTAGGTTTCAAACTGCACTAAATATCCACTTGAAAATACTTCAAAAAGAGTATTTCAAAACTGCTCTATCGAAAAGAAGGTTCAACTCTGAGAGTTAAATGCACAAGTCACAAAGAAGTGTCTCTGAATTCTTCTGTCAAGTTTTACATGAAAAAATGCCATTTCCAACGAAGGCCTCAAAAAGTCCAAACATCTACTTGCAGAAGGTACAGAAAGAGTGTTTCAAAACTGCTCTTTCAAGACAAATGTTCAACTCTGTGAATTGAATGCAAATAACACGTATCAGTTTCTGACAAAGCTTCTGTCTTGTTTTTATGTAAGGATATTTCCTTTTCTACCGTAGGCCTCAAAGCGCTCTAAATAGAATCTTGCAAATTCCACAAAAAGAGTGTTTCAAAACTGCTCTATCAAAAGAAATATGAAACTCTGTAACCTGAATGCACACATCACAATGTAGTTTCTGACAATAATTCTGTCTAGTTTTTCTATGAAGACATTTCCTTTTTTTAACACATGCCTAAAACCTCTCAAAATATCCACTTGGAAATATTACAAAAAGAGAGTTTCAAAACTGCTCTATCGAAAGGAAGGTCCAACACTGTGAGTTGAAAGCTCACATCACAAAGAAGTTTCTGAGAATTCCTCAGTCACGTTTTATATGAAGAAAACCCGTTTCCAACGAAGGCCCCAAAAAACTCCCAATATTCACTTGCAGATACTACAAAAAGTGTGTTTCAAAACTGTTCTATCAAAAGAAAGGTTAAACTCTGTGAGTTGAATGCGCACATCATGAAGTAGTTTCTGAGAAGCATTCTGTCTAGTTTTTCTATGTAGATATTGCCTTTTCTACCATAGGCCACAAACGACGCCAAATATCCACTTGGAATTTCTAAAAAAAGAGAGTTTGAAAACTGCTCTATCGAAAGGAAGGTTCTACTCCGTGAGTTGAAAGCACACACCACAAAGAAGTTTCTGGGAATTCTTCTGACTAGTTTTATATGAAGAAATCACGTTTCAAACGAAGGCCACAAAGAGGTCAAAATATCCACTTGCAGACTGTACAAAAATGTGTTTCAAAACTGCTCTATCAAGAGAAACGTTCAACTCTGTGAGTTGAATGCAAATATCACAAAGTGGTTTCTGACAATGCTTCTCTCTAGTTTTTATGTGAAGAAATTTCTTTTCTACCGTAGGCCTCAAAGTGATCTAAATATACACTTGCAAATTCCACAAACCATTGTTTCAAAACTGCTCTACCAAAAGAAAGGTTAAACTCTGTAAGCTGAATGCACACATCACAAAGCAGTTTCTGAGAATGATTCTGCCTAGTTTTTCTGTGAAGTTATTTCCTTTTCTATTATAGGCCTCAAACCGCTCTAAATATCCACTTGGAAATTCTACAAAAAGAGTATTTCAAAACTGCTCTATCGAAAGGAAGGTTCATCACTGTGAATCGAATGCACACATCACAAAGAAGTTTCTGATAATTCTTGTGTCACGTTTTATATGAAGAAATCCCGTTTCCGACGAAGGCCCCAAAAAAGTCCAAATATTCACTTGCAGATTCTACAAAAACAGTGTTTCAAAACTGCTCTATCAAATGAAAGATTAAACTCTGAAAGCTGAATGCACACATCACCAAGTAGTTTCTGTGAATAATTCCGTCTAGTTTTTCTATGAAGATATTTCCTTTTCTAACCAAGGCCTCAATCTGCTCTAAATATCCACTTGGAAATACTACAAAAAGAGTATTTCAACACTGCTCTATCGAAAGGAAGGTTCAATTCTGTGAGTTGAATGCACATATCACAAAGCAGTTTCTGAGAATTCTTCTGTCACATTTTAATTGAAGAAATCCCGTTTCCAATGAAGGCCCCCCAAAAATCCAAATATTCACTTGCAGATTATACAAAAACAGTGTTTCAAAACTGCTCTATCAAAAGAAAAGTTAAACTCTGTGAGTTGAACGCACACATGTCAAAGTAGTTTATGAGAATCATTCTCTCTAATTTTTCTATGAAGATATTGCCTTTTCTACCATTGGCCTCAAACGGCGCTAAATGAGCACTTGGAAATACTAGAAAAAGAGAGTTTCAAAACTGCTATATGGAATGGAAGGTTCAACTCTGTGAGTTGAAAGCACACATCACAAAGAAGTTTCTGAGAATTCTTCTGTGTAGTTTTATACGAAGAAAGCACGTTTCTAACAAAAGCCACAAAGAGGTCCAAATATACACTCGCAGATTCTACAAAAAGAGCGTTTCAAAACTGCTCTATCAAGAGGAATGTTCAACTCTGTTTGTTGAATGTAAATATCACAAAGTAGTTTCTGACAATACTTCTGTCTGGATTTTATGTGAAGATAATTCCTTTTCTACCATAGGCATCAAAGTGCTCTAAATATACACTTGCAAATTCCACAAAAAGAGTCTTTCAAAACTGCTCTATCCAAAGAAAGGTTAAACTGTGTAACCCGAATGCAAACATCACAAAATAGTTTCGGAGAACGATTCTGTCTAATTTTTCTATGAAGATATTTCCTTTTCTACCACAGGCCTCTAACCGCACAAAATATACACTTGGAAATCTACAAAAAGAGTATTTCAAAACTGCTCTATCGAAAGACAGGTTGAACACTGTCAGTTAAATGCACACATCCCAAAGAAGTTTCTGAGAATTCTTCTGTAACGTTTTTAATGAAGAAATCCCGTTTAAAACGGAGGCCCAAAAAAGTCCAAATATTCAGTTGCAGATTCTACAAAAAGAGTGTTTCAAAACTACTCTATCAAAAGAAATGTTAAACACTGCGAGTTGAACACACACATGACAAAGTAGTTTCTGAGAATCATTCTGTCTTGTTTTTCTATGAAGATATTGCAGTTTCTACCATAGGACTCAAATGGTGCTAAATATCCACTTGGAAATTCTACAAAAAGAGAGTTTCAAAACTGTTCTATTGAAAGGAAGGTTCAACTCTGTGAATTAAAAGCACACATCCCAAAGAAGTTTCTGAGAACTCTTCTGTGCAGTTTTATATGAAGAAATCACGTTTCTAAGGAAGGCCACAAATAGTTCCAAATATCCACCCACAGATTCTACAAAAAGAGTGTTTCAAAACTGCTCTATCAAGAGGAATGTTCAACTCTGTGAGTTGAATGCAAATATCACAAAGTAGTTTGTGACAATGCTTCTTTCTAGTTTTTATGTGAAAATAATTCCTTTTCTACCGTAGGCCTCAAAGCGCTGTAAATATAAACTTGCAGATTCCAAAAAAAAAAGTGTTTCAAAACTGCTCTATGAAAAGAAAGGGTAATCTCTGTAAGCTGAATGCACACATCGCAAAATGTTTCTGAGAATGATTCTGTCTAGTTTTTCTATGAAGATATATCCTTTTCTTCCACAGGCCTCAAACCGCTCTAAATACCCACTTGGAAATTTTACAAAAAGAGTATTTCAAAAGTGCTCTATCGAAAAGAAGGTTCAACTCTGTGAGTTGAAAGCACACATCACAAAAAAGTTTTTGAGAATTCTCCTGTCATGTTATATATGAAGAAATCGCGTTTCCAACGAAGGCCCCCAAAACGTCCAAATATTCGTTGCGGATTCTACAAAAAGTGTTTTAAAACTGCTCATCAAAAGAAAGGTTAAAATGTGTGAGTTAAACTCACACATCGCAAAGTAGTTTCTGAGAATCATTCTGTCAAGTTTTTCTATGAAGATATTGCCTTTTCTAACATAGGCCTCAAACGGCACTAAATATCCACTTGGAAATACTACAAAAAGAGAGTTTCAAAACTGGGCTATCGAAAGGAAGGTTCAACTCTGTGAGTTGAAAGCACACATCACAAAGAAGTTTCTGAAAATTCCTCTCTATTTTTATATGAAGAAATCACGTTTGAAACGAAGGCCACAAGGAGGTCCAAATATGCACTTGCAGATCCTACAAAAAGATTGTTTCAAAACTGCTCTATCAAGAGGAATATTCAACTCGGTGAGTTGTATGCAAATATCACAAAGTAGTTTCTGACAATGCTTCTGTCTACTTTTTATGTGAAGATACTTCCTTTTCTACAGTAGGCCTCAAAGCACTCTAAAGATTCACTTTCAAATTCCACAAAAAGAGTGTTTCAAAACTGCTCTATCAAAAGAAAGGTTAAACTCTGTAAGCCGAAGCACACATCACAAAGTAGTTTCAGAGAATGATTCTCTCTAGTTTTTCTATGAAGATATATCCTTTTCTACCACAGGCCTCAAATCACTATAAATATCCACTTGGAAATTCTACAAAGAGTATTTCAAAACTGCTCTATCAAAATGAAGGTTCAACTCTGTGAGTTGAATGCACACATCACAAAGAAGTTTCTGAGAATTCTTCTGTCAAGTTTAATATGAAGAAATCCTGTTTCCAATGAAGGCCTCAAATAAGTCCAAATACTCACTTGCAGAGTCCACAAAAAGAGTGTTTAAAACTGCTGTATCAAAAGAAAGGTTAAACAATGAAAGCTGAATTCAAACATCACAAAGTAGTTTCTGAGAATGATTCTGTCTAGTTTTTCAATGAAGATATTGCCTTTTGAACCACAGGACACAAAACGCTCTAAATATCAACTTGGAAATTCAACAAAAAGAGTATTTCAAAACTGCTCTATTGAAACGAAGGTTCAACCCTGTGAATTAAATGCACACATCACAAAGAAGTTTCTGAGAATTCTTCTGTCAAGTTTTATATGAAGATAAACCTTTTCCAACGATGGTCTCAAAGAAGTCCAAATATTCACTTGCAGATTCTACAAAAATAGTACTTCCAACGTGCTCTATCAAAAGAAAGGTTAAACTCTGTGAGTTGAACGCACACATCACAAAGTAGTTTCTGAGAATGATTCTGTCTAGTTTTTCTATGAAGTTATTCCCTTTTCTACCACAGGCCTCAAACCGCTCTAAATATCCACTTGGAAATTCTTCAAAAAGAGTATTTCAAAACTGCTCTTTCAAATTGGAGGTTCAACTCTGTGAGTTGAATGAACACACCACAATGTAATTTCTGAGAATCATTCTGTCTATTTTTTCTGTGAAGATATTGCCTTTTCTACCATAGGCCTCAAACGCCGGTAAATATCCACTTGGAAATTCTACACCAAGAGAGTTTCAAAACTGCTCCATCCAAAGGAAGTTTCAACTCTGTGAGTTGAAATCACACATCACAAAGAAGTTTCTGAGAATGCTTCTGTCTAGTTTTATATGAAGAAATCACGTTACAAACGAAGGCCACAAAGAGATCCAAATATCCACTTGCAGATTTTACGAAAAGTGTGTTTCAAAACTGCTCTATCTAGAGGAATGTTCAAATCGGTGAGTTGAATGCAAATATCACAAAGTAGTTTCTGACAATGCTTCTGTCTAGTTTCTCTGTGAAGATATTTCCTTTTCTACCGTAGGCCTCAAATCTCTCTAAACATACACTTGCAAATTCCACAAAAAGCGTGTTTCAGAACTGCTCTATCAAAAGCAAGGTTAAACACCGTAATCTGAACGCACACATCACAAAGTAGTTTCTGAAAATTGTTCTGTCTAATTTTTCTAAGAAGATATTTCCTTTTCTACCACAGGCCTCAAACCACTCTGAATAACCACTTGGAAATTCTACAAAAAGATCATTTCTAAACTGCTCTATCGAAATGAAGTTTCAAATCTGTGAGATGGATGAACGCATCACAAATATTTCTGAGAATTCTTCTGTAAAGTTTTATATGAAGAAATCACGTTTCCAACGAAGGCCTCAAAAAAAGCCCAAATATTCACTTGCAGATTCTCCAAAAATGTTTCAAACCTGCTCTATCAAAAGAAATGTTAAACTCTGTGATTTTAATGCACACACCGCAAAGCAGATTCTGAGAATCATTCTGTCTAGTTTTTCTATGAAGATATTACCTTTTCTACCTTAAGCCTCAAACGGCGCTAAATATCCACTTGGAAATACAACAAAAAGAGACTTTCAAAACTGCTCTATCGAAAGGAAGGTTCAACTTTGTGAGTTGAAAACACACAACACAAAGCTGTTTCTGAGAATTCTTCTGTCTAGTTTTATATGAAGAAATCACTTTTCAAAGGAAGGCCACTGAGAGGTCCAAGTATCCACTTGCAGATTCTACAAAAAGAGTGTTTCAAAACGGCTCTATCAAGAGGAATGTTCAACTCTGTGAGCTGAATGTAAATATCACAAAGTAGTTTCTGACAATGCTTCTCTCCCTTGTTTTTATGTGAAGATATTTCCTTTTCTACCGTAGGCCTCCAAGCGCTCTAAATATACACTTGCAAATTCCACAAAAAGAGTGTTTCAAAACTGCTCTATCAAAAGAAAGGTTAAACACTGTAAGCTGAAAGCACACATCACAAAGTAGTTTCTGAGAATGATTCTGCCTAGTTTTTCTATGAAGATATTTCCTTTTCTACAACAGGCCAAAAACCGCTCTGAATATCCACTTGGAAATTCTACAAAAAGATCATTTCAAAACTACTCTATCAAGATGAATGTTAAACTCTGTGATCTGAATGCACACATCCCAAAGAAGTTTCTGAGAATTCTTCTGTAAATTTTTATATGAAGAAATACAGTTTCCCACGATGGCCTCAAAAAAGTCCAAATATTTACTAGCAGATTCTACAAAAAGAGCGTTTCAAAACTGCTCTATCAAAAGAAGGGTTAACCTCTTTGAGTTGAAGGCTCACACCGCAAAAAGTAGTTTCTGAGAATCATTCTGTCTGTTTTTTCTATGAAGATATTGCCTTTTCTACAATAGGCCTCAAACGGTGCTAAATATCACTTGGAAATTCTACAAAAAGAGAGCCTCAAAACTGCTCTATCGAAGGAAGGTTCAACTCTGTGAGTTGAAAGCACACATCACTAAGAAGTTTCTGAGAAATCTTCTATCTAGTTTTACATGAAGAAATAACGCTTCAAACGAAGGCCACAAAGAGGTCCAAATATCCACTTGCAGATTCTACAAAAAGAGTGTTTCAAAACTGCTCTATCAAGAGGAATGTTCAACTCTGTGAGTTGAATGCAAATATCACAGAGTGGTTTCTGACAATGCTTCTGTCTAGTTTTTATGTGACGATATTTCATTTTCTACAGTAGACCTCAAAGTGCTCTAAATATACACTTTCCCCAAAATAGTGTTTCAAAAGGTCTGTATCAAAAGAAAGGTTAAACTCTGAAAGCTGAATTCAAACATCACAAAGCAGTTTCTGAGAATGATTCTGTCTAGTTTTCCTTTTAAGATATTTCCTTTTTTACCACAGGCCTCGAACTGCTCTAAATACCAACTTGGAAATACAACAAAAAGGGTATTTCAAAACTGCTCTATCAAAAGGAAGATTCATCTCTGTGAGTTGGAAGCACACATCACAAAGAAGTTTCTGAGAATTCTTCTGTCAAATTTTATTTGAAGAAATACCTTTTCCAATGAAGGTCTCAAAAAAGTCCAAATATTCACTTGAATTTTCTGCAAAAAGAGTGTTACAAAACTGCTCTATCAAAAGAAATATTAAACTCTGTGAGTTGAACGCACATACCACAAAGGAGTTTCTGAGAATCATTCTGTCTAATTTTTCTGTGAAGTTGTTTCCTTTTCTACAAAAGGCCTCAAACGGCGCTAAATATCCACTTGGAAATTCTACAAAAAGAGAGTTTCAAAACTGCTCTATCGAAAGGAAGTTTCAACTCTGTTAGTTGAAAGCACATATCACATAGAAGTTTCTGAGAATTCTTCTGTCTAGTTTTATATGAAGAAATCACGTTTCAAACGAAGGCCACAGAGGGATCCAAATATCCACTTGCAGATTCTACGAAAAGAGTGTTTCAAAACTGCTCTATCAAGAGGAATGTTCAACTCTGTGAGTTGAATGCAAATATCACAAAGTAGTTTCTGACAAAGCTTCTGTCTAGTTTTTATGTGAAGATATATCTTTTTCTGCCGTAGGCCTCAAAGAGCTCTAAATATACACTTGCAAATTCCACAAAAAGATTTTTTCAAAACTGCTCTATCAAAAGAAAGGTTAAACTGTGTAACCCGAATGCACACATCACAAAGTAGTTTCAGAGAATGATGCTGTCTAGATTTTCTATGAAGATATTTCCTTTTCTACCATAGGCCTCAAACCACTCTAAATATCCAATTGGAAATTCTACAAAAAGAGTATTTCAAAACTGCTCTATCGAAAAAAAGGTGCAACACTGTGTGTTGAATGCACAAATTCCAAAGAACTTTCGGAGAATTCTTCTCTCACGTTTTAAATGAAGAAACCTCCTTTCCAATGGAGACCCAAAAAAGTCCAAATATTCAATTGCAGATTCTACAAAAAGAGTGTCTCCAAACTGCTCTATCAAAAGAAAAGTTATACTCTGTGAGTTGAACGCACACATGGCAAAGTAGTTTCTGAGAATCATTCTATCTAGTTTTTCTATGAAGATATTGCCTTTTCTACCATAGGCCTCAAACGGCGCTAAATATCCACTTGGAAATACTACAAAAACAGAGTTTCAAAAGTGCTCTATCGAAAGAAAGGTTCAACTCTGTGAGTTGAAAGCACACATCAAAAAGAAGTTTCTTAGAATTCTTCTGTGAAGTTTTACATGAAGAAATCACGTTTCTAACGAATGCCACAAAGAGGTCTAAATATCCACTCACAGATACTACAAAAATACCGTTCCAAAACTGCTCTATGAAAAGAAAGGTTAAACTCTGTGAGTTGAAAGCACTCTTCACAAAGTAGATTCTGAGAATCATTCTGTCTAGTCTTTCTATGAAGATATTTTCTGTTATACCATAGGCCTCAAACGACACTAAATATCCAATTGGAAATTTTAGAAAAAGACAGTTTCAAAATTGCTCTATTGACAGGAAGCTTCAAATCTGTGAGATGAAAGCACACAATACGAAGAAGTTTCTGAGAATTCTTCCGTCTAGTTTCATTTGAATAAATCACGTTTCAAACGAAGGCCACAAAGAAGTCCAAATATCCACTTGCAGATTCTACAAAAAGGGTGTTTCAAAACTGCTCTATCAAGAGGAATTTTCAACTTTGAGAGTTGAATGTAAATATCACAAAGCAGTTTCTGACAATGTTTCTGTCTCGTTTTTATGTGAAGATATTTCCTTTTCTACTGTATACCTCAAAGTGCCCTAAATAAACAAAAATTCCACAGACAGTTTCAAAACTGCTCTATCCAAAGAAAGGTTAAATTCTGTAATCTCAATGCACACATCAAAAAGCAGTTTCTCAGAATGATTCTGTCCGGTTTTTCTAAGAAGATATTTCCTTTTCTACCACAGGTCTAAATACCGCTAAAAATATCCACTTGGATATTCTGCAAAAAGAGTATTATTTAAAAACTTCTCAATAGAAAGGAAGGTTCAACTCTGTGAGTTGAATGCACACATCACAAAGAAGTTTCTGAGAATTTTTCTGACAAGTTTTATATGAGGAAATGCAGTTTCAAACGAAGGCCTCAAAAAAGTCAAAAATATTCACTTGCAGATTCGACAAAAAGAGTGTATCAAAACTGCTCTATCAACAGAAAGGTTAAACTCTGTGAGTTCAACGCACACATCACAAAGTAGTTTCTGAAAATCATTCGGTCTAGTATTTCTATTAAGATAATTCCTTTTATACCAAAGGCCTGAAATGGCGCTCAAAATCCACTTTGAAATTCTACAAAATGTGAGTTTCAAAATCGCTCTATCGAAAGGAAAGTACAACCCTGTGAGTTGAAAGCACACATCACAAAGTAGTTTCTGAGAATTATTCTGTCTAGTTTTATATGAAGACATCCCGTTTCAAAAGAAGGCCACAAAGACGTCCAAATAATCAATTGCAAGATTCTTGAAAAGGAGTCTTCCAAAACTGCTCTATCAAGAGGAATGCTCACCTCTGTGAGTGGAATGCAAATATCACAAAGTAGTTTCTGACAATGCTTCTGTCTAGTTTTTATGTGAAGACATTTCCTTTTCTACCGTAGGCCTCAAAGCGCTCTAAATATACATTTGCAAATTCCAAGAAAAGACTGCTTCAAAACTGCTCTATCAAAAGAAAGGTTAAACTTTGCAAGCTGAATGCACACATCACAAAGTTGTTTCGGAGAAAGATTCTGTCTAGTTTTTCTATGAAGATATTTCCTTTTCTACCATACTCCTCAAACGGCGCTAAATATACACTTGGAAATTCTATAAAATAAAGTTTCAAAACTGCTCTATCGAAAGGAAGGTTCAACCCTTTGAGTTGAATGCACACATCACAAAGAAGTTTCTGGATATTCTTCTGTCAAGTTTTATGTAAAGAAATCCCGTTTACAAAGAAGGCCTCAAAAAAGTCCAAATATTCCCTTGCAGATTCTACAAAAAGAGTGTTTCAAAACTGCTCTCTCAATAGAGAGGTTAAACTATGGAGGTGAACGCACTCATCACAAAGTAGTTTCTGAGAATCATTCTGTCTGGTTTTTCTATGAAGATATTTCCTTTTCTACCACAGTCCTCAAACGGCACTAAATATCCACTTGGAAATTCTACAAAAAGAGAGCTTCAGTACTCCTCTCTCGAAAGGAAGGTTCAGCTCTGTGAGTTGAAAGCACACATCACAAAGAAGTTTCTGAGAATCCTTCTGTCTAGCTTTATATGAACAAATCACGTTTCAAAAGAAGGCCACCAACAGGTCCAAATATCCAATTGCAGATTCTACAAAAAGAGGGTTTCAAAACTGCTCTATCAAGAGGAATGTTCAATTCCGTGAGTTGAATCAAATGTCACAATGTAGTTTCTGACAATGCTTCTGTCTAGATTTTATGTGAAGATAGTTCCTTTTCTTCCGTCGGCCTCAAAGAGCTCTAAATATACTCTAACAAATCCCACAAAATGAGTGTAGTGTATTAAAACTGCTCTATCAAAAGAACGGTTAAACTCTGTAACCCGAATGCACACATCACAAAGTAGTTTCAGAGAATGATTCTGTCTAGTTTTTCTATGAAGATATTTCCTTTTCTACCACAGGCCTGAAACCGCTCTAATTATCCACTTGGGAATACTACAAAAAGAGTATTTCAAAACTGCTCTAACGAAAGAAGGGTGCAACTCTGTGAGTTGAATGCACTCATCCCAAAGAAGTGTCTGAGAATTCTTCTGTCACATTTTAATGAAGAAATCCCGTTTCCAACGGAGGCCCCAAAGAAGTCCAAATATTCAATTGCTGATTCTACAAAAAGAGTGTTTCAAAACGGCCCTATCAAAAGAAAAATTAAACTGTGTGAGTTGAACGCACACATGACAATGTAGTTTCTGAGATACATTCTGTCTAGTTTTTCTATGAAGATATTTCCTTTTCTACCATAGGCCCCAAAAGGCGGTAAATATCCACTTGGAAATTCTACAAAAAGAGAATTTCAAAACTCCTCTATCGAAAGGAATGCTCAACTCTGTGGGTTGAAAGCATACATCAAAAAGAAGTTTCTGAGAATTGTTCTGTCTAGTTTTAGATGAAGAAATCAAGTTTCAAACGAAGACAACAAAAAGGTCCAAATATCCACTTGCAGATTCTACAAAAAGAGTGTTCCAAAACTGCTCTATCAAGAGGTATGTTCAACTCTGTGATTTGAATGCAAATGTCACAAAAGAGTTTCCGACAATGGTTCTGTCTGGTTTTTATATGAAGATATTTACTTTTCTACCGTAGGCCTGAAACCGCTCTAATTATACACTTGAAAATTCCACAAAAAGAGTGCTTCAAAACTGCTCTGTCATCAGAGAGGTTACACTCTGTAAGCTGAATGCACACATCACAAATTAGTTTCTGAGAATGATTCTGTCTAGTTTTTATAAGAAGATATTTCGTTTTCTACCTTAGGCCTCAAACTGCTCTAAATATCCAAATGGAAATTCTACAAAAGAGTATTTCAAAACTGCTCTATCCAAAGGAAGTTTTAACTCTGTGAGTTGAATGTGCACATCACAAAGAAGTTTCTGAGGATTCTTCTGTCAAGTTTTCTATGAAGAAATCCCGTTTCCAAAGAAGGCCTCCAAAAAGTCCAAATATTCACTTGCAGATTCTACAAAAAGACTGTTTCAAAAAAGCTCTATCAAAAGAAAGGTTAAACTCTGTGAGTCGTAAGCAAACATCACAAAGAAGTTTCTCAGAATCATTCTATCTAGTTTTTCTTAGAAGATATTTCCTTTTCTACCATAGGCCTCAAACGGTGATAAATATCCACTTGGAAATTCAACAAAAAGAGAGTTTCTAAGCTCCTCTATCGAAAGAAAGTTTCAACTCTGTGAGTTGAAAGCACACATCACAAAGAGGTTTCTGAGAACTCTTCTGTCTAGTTTTATGTGAAGAAATCACGTTTCAAACGAACGCCACAAGGAGGTCCAAATATCCAATTGCAGATTCTAAAAAAAGAGTGATTCAAATCTCCTCTATCATGAGGAATTTTCAACTCTGTGTGTTGAATGCAAATATCACAAAGTACTTTCTGACAATGCTTCTGTCTAGTTTTCATGTGAAGATACTTCCTTTTCTACCATAGGCCTCAAAACACTAAAATATACACTTGCAAACTGAACAAAAAGGGTGTTTCAAACTGCGCTATCAAAAGGAAGGTTAAACACTGTAAGCTGAATGCACACATCACAAAGTAGCTTCTGAAAATGATTCTGTCTTGTTTTTCTATGAAGATATTTCTTTTTCTGCCATAGGCCTCAAACGACACTAAATATCCACTTTGAAGTTCTACAAAGAGTATTTCAAAACTGCTCTATGGAAAGCAAATTTCAACTCTCTGAGTTAAATGCACACCACCCAAATAAGTTTCTTATAATTCTTCTGTCAAGTTTTATGAAGAAATCCCGTTTCCAACGAAGGCCTCAAAAAAGTGGAAATATTGACATGCAGATTCTACAAAAAGAGTGTTTCAAAACTTCTCTATCAAATGAAAGCTTAAACTCAGTGAGTTGAAAGCACACATCACAATGTAGTTTCTGAGAATCATTCTGTCTAGTTTTTCCAAGAAGTTATTGCCTTTTCTACCATAGGCCTCAAACGGCGATAAATATCAACTTGAAAATTCTACAAGAAGAGAGTTTCAAAACACCTCTGTGGAAAGGAAGGTTCAACTCTGTGAGTTAAAACCACACATCACGAAGAAGCTTCTGAGAATTCTTCTGCCTAGTTTTATATGAAGAAATCACATTTCAAACGAACGCCACAAAGAGGACCAAATAATCAATTGCAGATTCTACAAAAAGAGTATTTCAACCTGCTCTGTCAAGAGGAATGTTTAACTCTGTGAGTTGAATGCAAATATCACAAAGTAGTTTCTGACAATGCTTCTGTTTAGTTTTTATGTGAAGATATTTCCTTTTCTACGTAGCCTTCAAAGCGCTCTAAATATATACTTGCAAATTCCACAAAAGTAGGGTTTCAAAACTGCTCTATCAAAAGTAAGGTTAATCTCTGTCAGCTGAATGCAAACATCACAAAGTAGTTTCTGAGAATGATTCTGTATAGTTTTTCTATGATGTTATTTCCTTTTCTACCAGAGGCCTCAAACGGAGCTAAATATCCACTTGGAAATTATACAAAAACAGTATTTCAAAACTGCTCTTTCGAAAAGAAGTTTCAACTCTGTGAGTTGAATGCACACATCACAAAGAAGTTTCTGAGAATTCTTCTGTTCAATTTTATATGAAGAAAACCCGTTTCCAACGAAGGCTTCAAAAAAGTCCAAATATTCACTTGCAGATTCCACAAAAATTTGTTTCAAAACTGATCTATCAACAGAAACGTTAAACCCTTTGAGTTCAACGCACAACTCACAAAGTAGTTTCTGAGAATCATTCTATCTATCTAGTTTTTCTATGAAGATATTGCCTTTTCAACGATAGGCCTCAAACGGCGCTAAATATCCACTTGTAAGGTCTACAAAAAGTGAGTTTCAAAACTGCTCTATCAAAAGGAATGTTCAACACTGTGAGTTGAAAACACACATCACAAAGAAGTTTCTGAGAATTCCTCTGTCCTGTTTTATATGAAGACATCACATTTCAAAAGAACGCCACAAAGAGGTCCAAATATTCAATTGCAGATTCTACAAACAGAGTGTTTTAAAACTGCACCATCAAGAGGAATGTCCATCTCTGTGAGTTGAATGCCAATATCACAAAGTAGTTTCTGACAATGCCTCTGTCTGGTTTTTATGTGAAGATATTTCCTTTTCTATGGTAGACCACAAAGCGCTCTAACTATATACTTGGAAATTACACAAAAAGAGTGTTTCATAACTGCTCTATCAAAACAAAGGTTAAACTCTGAAAGCTGTATGCACACTTCACAAACTAGGTTCTGATAATGATTCTGTCTTGTTTTTCTACGAAGATATTTCCATTTCTACCATAGGCTTCAAACCGCAATAAATATCCACATGGAAATTCTACAAAAAGAGCATTTCAAAACTGCTCTATCGAAAGGAAGGTTCAACTCTGTGAGTTGAATGCACACATCACAAAGAAGTTTCTGAGAATTCTTCTGTATAGTTTTATATGAAGAAATCACGTTTCCAAAGAAGGCCTCAAAAAAGTCCAAATATTCACTTGCAGATTCTACCAAAAGTGTGTTTCAAAACTGCTCTATCAAAAGAAACGTTAAACCCTGTGCGTTGAACGCATACATCACAAAGTAGTTTCTGAGAATCATTCTGTCTAGTTTTTCTATGAAGATATTGCCTTTTCTTCCATAGGTCTCAAACGGTGCTAAGTATCCACTTGGAAATTCTACTAAAGGACAGTTTCAAAACTGCTCTATCGATAGAAAGATTCAACTCTGTGAGTTGAAAGCATATATCCCAAAAAATTTCTGAGAATTCTTCTGTCTAGTTTTATATGAAGAAATCACGTTTCAAAGGAAGGCCACAAAGAAGTCCAAATATCCACTTGCAGATTCTACAAAAAGAGAGTTTCAAAACTGCTCTGTCAAGAGGAAAGTTCAACTCTGTGAGTTGAATGCAAACATCACAAAGTAGTTTCTGACAATTCTTCTGCCTAGTTTTTTACGTGAAGATATTTCCTTTTCTACAGTAGGCCTCAAAGCGCTCTAAATATACACTTACAAATTCCACAAAAAGAGTGTTTCAGAACTGCTCTATCAAAAGAAAGCTTAAACAATGTTAGCTGAATGCACACATTGCAAAATAGTTTCTGAGAATGATTCTGTCTAGTTTTTCTAAGAAGATATTTCCTTTTTTACCATAGGCCTCAAACCGCTCTAAATATCTACTTGGAAATACTTCAAAAAGAGTATTTCAAAACTGCTCTATCAAAAGGAAGGTTCAACTCTGTGAGTTCAATGCACAAGTCTCAAAGAAGTGTCTCTGAATTCTTCTGTCAAGTTTTATATGAAGAAATGACATTTCCAAAGAAGGCTTCAAAAAGTCCCAATATTTACTTGAAGATCCTACAAAAATAGTGTTTCCAAAGTGATCTATCAAGACGAATGTTCAACACCATTAGTTGAATGTAAATATCACATAGTAGTTTCTGACAATGCTTCTGTCTAGTTTTTAATTGAATATATTTCCTTTTCTACCGTAGTCCTCAAACCGCTATAGATATGCACTTGCAAATACCATAAAAAAAGAGTGTTTCAAAACTGTTCTATCAAAAGAAAGTTTAAAGTCTGTAAGCTGAATGCACACATCACAAAGTCGTTTCTGAGAATGATTCTGTCTAGTTTTTTTTGAAGATAATTCCTTTTCTACTGTAGGCCTCAAACCACTCTAAATATCCACTTGGAAATACTACAAAAAGAGTATTTCAAAACTGCTCTATCGAAAGAAAGGTTCAACAATGTGAGTTGAATGCGCACACCCTAAAGGAGTTTCTGAGAATTCTTCTGTCACGTTTTAAATGAAGAAATCCCGTTTCCAACGGATGCCCCAAAAAAGCCTAAATATTTAATAGCCGATTGTACAAAAAGAGTGTTTCAAAACTGCTATATCAAAGAAAAGATAAACCCTATGAGATGAACGCACACATGACAAAGTAGATTCTGAGAATCATTCTGTCTAGTTTTTCTATGAAGATATTGTCTTTTCTACCATAGGCCTCAAACAGCGCTATATAACCACTTGGAAATACTACAAAAAGACAGTTTCACAACTGCTGTATGGAAAGGAAGGTTCAACTCTGAGTTGAAAGCACACGTCACAAAGAAGTTTCTGAGAATTCTTCTGTGTAGTTTTATACGAAGAAATCACGTTTCAAACGAAGGCCACAAAGAAGTCCAAATCACTCGCAGATTCTACAAAAAGAGAGTTTCAAAACTGCTCTATCAAGAGGAATGTTCAACACGGTGAGTTGTAAGCAAATATCACAAAGTAGTTTCTTACAATGCTTCTGCCTACTTTTTATGTGAAGATATTTCCTTTTCTACCGTAGGCCTCTAAGCGCTCTAAATATACTCTTGCAAATTCCACAAAAAGAGTGTTTCAAAACTGCTCTACCAAAACAAAGGTTAAACTCTGTAAGCTGAATGCACACATCACAAAGTAGTTTCTGACAATTATTCTGTCTAGTTTGTCTGTGAAGATATTTCCTTTTCTACCACAGGCCTCCAACCGCTCTAAATATCCAGTTGGAAATACTACCAAAAGACTACTTCAGAACTGCTCTATCCAAAGGAAGGTTCAACTCTGTGAGTTGAATGCACACATCAGAAAAAAGTTTCTGATAATTCTTCTTTCACGTTTTATATGAGGAAATTCCGTGACCAACGAAGGCCCCCAAAAAGTCCAAATATTCACTTGCAGATTCTACAAAAACAGTGTTTCAAAACTGCGCTATCAAAAGAAAGATTAAACTCTGTAAGCTGAATGCAAACATCAAAAAGTAGTTTCTGTGAATGATTCTGTATAGTTTTTCTACGAAGGTATTTCCTTTTCTACCACAGGCCTCAAACCGCTCTAAATATCCATTTGGAAAATCTACAAAAAGAGTATATCAAAACTGTTCGATAGAGAGGAAATTTCAATTCTGTGAGTTGAATGCACACACCACAAAGCAGTTTCTGAGAATTCTTCTGTCACGTTTTATATGAAGAAATCTCGTTTCCAACAAAGGCCCCAAGAAGTCCAAATATTCACTTGCAGATTCTACAAAAACAGTACTTCACAACTGCTCTATCAAAAGAAAGATTAAACTGTGTGAGCTGAATGCACACAGCACAATGTAGTTTCTGAGAATCATTCTGTGTAATTTTTCTATGAAGATATTAACTTTTCTACCATAGGCCTCAAACGGCACTAAATATCCACTTGGATAATCTACAAAAAGAGAGTTTAAAACTGCTCTATCGAAAGGAAAGTTCAACTCTGTGAGATGAAAGCACACATCACCAATAAGTTTCTGAGAATTTTTCTGTCTAGTTTTATTTGACGAAATCACATTTCAAGCGAAGGCCACAAAGAGATCCAAATATCCCCTCGCAGATTCCAGAAAAAGAGTGTTTCAAAACTGGTCTATCAAAAGAAAGTGTAATCTCTGTAAGCTGAATGCACACATTGCAAAGTATTTTCTGACAATGATTCGGTCTACTTTTTCTATGAAGATACTTCCTTTTCTACCACAGGCCTCAAACCGCTCTAAATGTCCACATGGAAATACTCCAAAAGGAGTATTTCAAAACTGCTCAAAGGAAATGAATGTTCAAATCTTTGAGTTGAATGCACACATCACAAAGATGTTTCTGAGAATTTTTCTGTCATGTTTCATTTGAAGAAATCAGGTTTCAAATGAAGGACGCAAAAAGTCCAAATATTCACCTACAGATTCTACAAAAAGAAAGTTTCAAAATTTCTCTATCTAGAGGAATGTTTATCTCTGTGAGTTGAATGCAAATATCACGTAGTAGTTTCTGTCAATGCTTCTGTCTTGTTTTTATATGAAGATAATTCCTTTTCTACAGTATTCCTCTAAGCGCTCTAAATATACAATTGCAAATTCCACAAAAAGAGTGTTTCAAAACTGCTCTATCAAAAGAAAGGTTAAACTCTGTGAGTTGAACGCACACATCACAAAGTAGTTTCTGAGAATCATTCTGTCTAGTTTTTCTATGAAGATATTGCCTTTTCTAACACAGGTCTCAAACGGCGGTAAATATCCACTTGGAAATCCTACCAAAAGAGATTTTCAAAACTGCTCTATCAAACGGAAGTTTCAACAATAGGAGTTGAAAGCTGACATCACAAAGAAGTTTCTGAGAATTCTTCTGTCTAGTTTTATATGAAGAAATCACGTTTCAAACGAAGGCCACAAAGAGGTCCAAATATCCGCTTGCAGATTCTACAAAAAGAGTGTTTCAAAACTGCTCTATCAAAAGAAAGATTA
Source organism: Homo sapiens (assembly GCF_000001405.40). Classification (NCBI taxonomy): domain Eukaryota; kingdom Metazoa; phylum Chordata; class Mammalia; order Primates; family Hominidae; genus Homo; species Homo sapiens. Next base: position 90,533,987 of record NC_000003.12, read on the forward strand.
AACTCCGTAAGCTGAATGCACATATCACAAAGTACTTTCTGTGAATGATTCTGTCTAGTTTTTCTATGAAGATATTTCCTTTTCTATCACAGGCCTCAAACCGCTCTAAATATCCACTTGGAAATTCTACAAAAAGAGTATTTCAAAACTCCTCTATCGAAAGGAATGTTCGTTTTTGTGAGTTGAATGCACACATCACAAAGTAGTTTCTGAGAATCATTCTGCCTAGTTTTTCTATGAAGGTATTGCCTTTTCCACCATAGGCATCAAACGGCAATAAATATCCACTTAGAAATTCTACAAAAAGAGTTTCAAAACTGCTCTATGGAAAGGAAGGTTCAACTCTCTGAGTTGAAATCACACAATAGAAATAACTTTCTGAGAATTCTTCTGTCTGATTTTATATGAAGAAATCACGTTTCAAACGAAGTCCACAGAGAGGTCCAAATATCCGCTGGCAGATTCTACAAAATGAGTGTTTCTAAAGTGATCTATCAAGAGGAATGTTCAACTCTGTGAGTTGAATGCCAATATCACAAAGCAGATTCTGACAATGCTTCTGTCTAGTTTTTTTGTGAAGATATTTCCTTTTCTACAGTAGGCCTCAAAGCACTCTAAATATACACTTACAAATACCACAAAAAGAGTGTTTCAAAACAGCTCTATCAAAAGAAAGGTTAAATTTTTTAAGCTGAATGCACACAACACAAAGCAGTTTCTCAGAATGATTCTGTCTAGTTTTTCTAAGAAGATATTTCCTTTTCTACCACAGGCCTGAAAACCACTAAAAGTATCCACTTAGAAATCCTGCAAAAAGTGTATTTCAAAACTGCTCTATCGAAAGGAAGGTTCAAATCTGTGAGTTGAACGCACACATCACAAAGAAGTTTCTGAGAATTCTTCTGTCAAGTTTCATATGAAGAAATCCCCTTTCCAAGGAAGGCCTCAAAAAGTCCAAATATTTAGTTGTAGATACTACAAAAAGAGTGTTTCAAAACTGCTCTATCAAAAGAAATGTGAAACTCTGTGAGTTGAATGAACACTTCACAAAGTAGTTTCTGAGAATCATTTTGTCCAGTTTTTATATGTAGATATTGCCTTTTCTACCATATTCCTCAAATGGCGCTAGATATCCACTTGGAAATACTACAAAAGGAGAGTTTCTAAACTGCTCTATCGAAAGAAGGTTCAACTCTGTGAGTGGAAAGCACACATCACAAAGAAGTTTCTGAGAATTCTTCTGTGTAGTTTTATATGAAGAAATCACATTTCTAACGAGAGCCCAAAGAGGTCCAAATATCCACTCGCAGATTCTACAAAAAGAGTGTTTCAAAACTTCTCTATCAAGAGGAAAGTTCAACTCTGTGAGTTTAACGCAAATATCACAAAGTAGTTTCTGACAATGATTCTGCCTAGTTTTTATGTGACTATATATCCTTTTCTAACGTAGGCCCTAAACCGCTCTAAATATACACTTGCAAATTCCACAAAAAGAGTGTTTCAAAACCGCTCTATCGAATGGAAGGTTCAACACTAGGAGTTGAATGCACACATCACAAAGTATTTTCTGAGAATCATTCTGTCTGGTTTTTCTCTGAAGATATTGCGTTTTCTACCACATGCCTCAAACGGCAATAAGTATCCACTTGTAAATTCTGCAAAACGGCAATTTCAAAAATACTCTATCGCAAGGAAGATTCAACTCTGGGAGTTGAAAGCACATATCTCAAAGAAGTTTCTGAGAATTCTTCTGTCTAGTTGTAAATGAAGAAATCACGTTTCAAACGAAGGCCACAAAGAGGTCCAAATATCCATTTGTAGATTGTGCAAAAAGAGTGCTTAAAAACTGCTCTATCAAGAGCAATGTTCAACTCTGTGAGTTGAATGCAAATAACACAAAGGAGATTCTGACATCCCTTCTGTCTAGTTGTTATTGGAAGATATTTCCTTTTCTACCGTAGGCCTCAAAGCGCTCTAAATATACACTTGCAAATCCCACAAAAAGAGTGTTTCAAAACTGCTCTATCAAAGGAAAGGTTAAACTCTGTAAGCTAAATGCACACATCACAAAGTAGTTTCTGAGAATGATTCTGTCTGGTTTTCTTATGAAGATATTACCTTTTCTACCATAGGCCTCAAACCGATCTGAATATACACTTGGAAATTTTACAAAAAGAGTATTTCAAAACTTCACATTCGAAAGGAAGTGTCAACTCTGTTAGTTGAATGCACACATCACAAAGTAGTTTCTGCAAATTCCTCTGTCAAGTTTTATATGAAGAAATCCCGTTTCCAACGAAGGCCTCAAAAAACCCCAAATATTCAATTGCAGATTCTACAAAAACAGTGTTTCAAAATTGCTCTATCAATAGAAAGCTTAAACTCCGTGCGTTCAACGCACACATCACAAAGTAGTTTCTGAGAATCATTCTGACTAGTTTTTCTGTGAAGATATTGCCTTCTCTACCATAGGCCTCAAATGGCGCTAAATATCCACTTGGAAATTTTACAAAAGTAGAGAATCAAAACTGCTCTATCGAAAGGAATGTTCAAATATTTGAGTTGAAAGCACACATCACAAAGAGATTTCTGAGAATTCTTCTGTCTAGTTTTAAATGAAGAAATCACGTTTCAAACGACGGCCACAAAGAGGTAAAAATATCCACTTGTAGATTCTGAAAAAGGAGTGTCTATAATCTGCTCGATCAAGAGGAATGTTCAACCCTGTATGTTGAATGCAAATATCACAAAGTAGTTTCTGACAATGCTTCTGTCTAGTTTTTATGTGAAGATATTTCCTTTTCTACCGTATGCCTCAATGCACTATAAATATACAATTGCAAATTCCACAAAAAGACTGTTTAAAACTGCTCTATCAAAAAAAATGTTAAACTCCATAAGCTGAATGCACACATCAAAAGGTAGTTTCTGAGAATGATTCTGTCTAGTTTTTCTATGAAGATATTTCCTTTTCTAGCATAGGCGTCAAGCCGCTCTAAATATCCAATCGGAAATTCTACAAAAAGAGAATTTCAAAACTGATCTATCGAAAGGAAGTTTTACTTCTATGAGTTGAATGCACACATCACAAAGAAGTTTCTGAGAAATCTTCTGACAAGTTTTATATGAAGAAATCCCGTTTCCAACGAAGGCCTCAAAAAAGTCCTAATATTCACTTGCAGATTCTACAAAAAGAGAGTTTCAAAACTGCTCTGTCTACATAATGTTTAAACTCTCTGAGTTGAACGCACGCATCACAGAGTAGTTTCTGAGAATCATTCTGTCTACTTTTTCTATGAAGATATTGCCTTTTCTACCATAGGCCTCAATAGGCACTAAATATCCACTCGGAAATTCTACAAAAAGAGAGTTTCAAAACTCCTCTATCGAAAGGAAGGTTCAAATCGGTGAGATGAAAGCTCACATCACAAAGAAGTTTCTGAGAATTATTCTGTCTAGTTTTACATGAAGAAATCACGTTTCTAACGAAGGCCTCAAAGAGGTCCAAATATCCATATGTAGATTCTACAAAAAGAGTGTTTCAAAACTGCTCTGTCAAGAGGAATATTCAACTAAGTGAGTAGAATGCAAATATCACAAAGTAGTTTCTGACAATGTTTCTGTGTAGTTTTTATGTGAAGATATTTCCTTTTCCACCGTAGGCCTCTAAGCGCTCTAAATATACACTTGCAAATTCCACAAAAAGACTGTTTAAAACTGCTCTACCAAAAGAAAGTTTAAACAGTCTAAGCTGAATGCGTACATCACAAAGTAGTTTCAGAGAAAGTTTCTGTCTAGTTTTTGTATGAAGATATTTCCCTTTCTACCATAGGTCTGAAACCGCTCTAACTATCCATTTGGAAATTCTACAAAAAGAGTATTTCAAAACTGCTCTATCGAAAGGAAGGTTCAAATCAGAGAGTTGAATGCACACATCACGAAGAAGTTTCTGAGAATTCTTCTGTCAAGTTTTCTATGAAGAAATCCCGTTTCCAATGAAGGCCTCAAAAAAGTCCAAATATTCACTTGCAGATTCTACAAAAAGAAGGTTTCAAAACTGCTCTATCAAAAGAAAGGTAAAACTCGGTGAGTTGAATGCAAACATCACGAAGTAGTTTTGGAGAATGATTCTGTCTTGTTTTCTATGAAGATATTGCCTTTGCTACCATAGGCCTCAAACAGCGCTAAATATCCACTTGGAAATACTGCAAAAAGAGACTGTCAAAACTGCTCTATCGAAAGGAAGGTTCAACTATGTGTGTTGAAAGGACACATCACAAAGAAGTTTCTGATAATTCTACTGTCTAGTTTTATATGAAGAAATCACATTTCCAAGGAAGGCCACAAAGAGGTCCAAATATCCACTTGCAGATTCTACAAAAAGAGTGTTTTAAATCTGTTCCATCAAGAGGAATGTTCAACTCTGTGAGTTGAATGCAAATATCACAAATTGGTTTCTGATAATGCTTCTGTCTATTTTTTATGTGAAGATATTTTCTTTCCTACCGTAGGACTCAAAGCACTCTAATTATACACTACCAATTCCACAAAAAGAGTACTTTAAACCTGCTCTATCAAAAGAAACGTTAAATTCTTTAACCTGAATGCAGACATCACAAGGTAGTTTCTGAGAATGATTCTCTCTACTTTTTCTATGAAGATATTTACTTTTCTACCATATGCCTCTAACCACTCTAAATATCCACTTGGAAATTCTACAAAAACAGAATTTCAAAACTGCTCTATCGAAGGGAAGGTTCAACTCTGTGAGTTGAATGCACACATCACAAAGAAGTTTCTGAGAATTCTTCTGTCAAGTTTTATATGAAGAAATCCCGTTTCCAACGAAGGCCTCAAAACAGTTCAAATATTCACTTGCAGATTGTACAAAAAGAGTGTTTCAAAACTGCTCTATCAAAGGAAAGTTTAACCTCTGTGAGTTGAACGCACACATCACAAAGTAGTTTCTGAGAATCATTCTGTCTAGTTTTTCTATGAAGATGTTGCATTTTCTACCATAAGCTTCATACGGGGCTAAATATTCACTTGGAAATTCTACAGAAAGAGAGTTTCAAAACTGCTCTGAAGAATGGAAGCTTCAAATCTGTGAGTAGAAAGCACACACCACTGAGAAGTTTCTGAGAATTGTTCTGTCGAGTTGTAAATGAAGAAATCACGTTTCAAAGGAAGGCCACAAAGAGGCCCATATATCCACTTGAAGATTCAACAAAACAGTGTTTCAAAACTGCTCCATCAAGTGTAATGTTCAACTCTCTGAGTTGAATGCAAATATCACAAAGTAGTTTCTGATAATGCTTCTGTCTAGTTTTTATGTAAAGATTTTTCCTTTCCTACCGTAAGCCTCAAAACACTCTAAATATACAGTTGCAAATTAGAAAAAGGAGTGTTTCAAAACTGCTCTATAAAAACATTGGATAAACTCTGTTAGCTGAATGCCCACATCACAAATTAGTTTCCGAGGATGATTCTGTCTATTTTTTTTATGAAGATATTTACTTTTCTACCGTAGGCATCAAACCGATCTAAATATCTACTTGGAAATTTTACAAAAAGATTCTATCAAAACTGCTCTATCGAAAGGAATGTTCAACTCTGAGAGTTAAATGCACACATCACAGAGAATTTTCTTAGAATTCTTTTTTCAAGTTTTATATGAAGAAATCTCGTTTCCAAAGAATGCCTCAAAAAAGGCCAAATATTCACTTGCAGATCCTACAAAAAGAGTATTTCAAAACTGCTCTAGCAAAAGAAAGGTTAAACTCTGTGAGTTGAAAGGAAACATCACAAAGTAGTTTCTGAGAACCATTCTGTCCAGTTTTTCTCTGAAGACATTGCCTTTTCTACAATAGGCCTCAAACAGTGCTAAATATCCACTTGGAAATTCTACAGAAAGTGAATTTCAAAACTGCTCTATCGAAAGGAAGCTTCAACTCTGTGAGTTGAAAGCAAACATCACAAAATAGTTTCTGAGAATTCTTCCGTCTTGTTTTGTATTAAGAAATCATGTTTCAAAGGAAGGCCACAAAGTGGTCCAAATATCCACTTGGAAATTCTACAAAATAGTATTTCAAAACAGCTCTATTGAAAGGAATGTTCAACTCTGTGAGTTGAATTCATACATCACAAAGAAGTTTCTGAGAATTCTTCTGTCACGTTTTATACGAAGAAATCCCGTTTCCAAAGAAGGCCTCAAAAAAGTCCAAATATTCACTTGCAGATTCTACAAAAGAGTGTTTCAAAACTCCTCTATCAAAACAAAGTTTAAACTCTGTGGCTTGAGCGCAAACATCACAAAGTAGTTTCTGAGAATCATTCTGTCTAGTTTTTCTATGAAGATATTGCCTTTTCTACCATAGGCTTCAAAAGGCGCTTAATAAACTCTTGGAAATTCTACAAAAAGAGAGTTTAAAAACTGCCCTATTGAAAGGAAGCTTCAACTCTGTGAGGTGAAAGCACACATCACGAAGTAGTTTCTGAAAACTCTTCTGTCTAGTTGCAACTGCAGAAATAACGTTTCAAAAGAAGGCCACTAAGAGGTCCTAATATCCACTTACATATTCTACAAAAAGAGTGTTTCAAAACTGCTCCATCAAGAGGAATGTTCAACTCTGTGAGTTGAATGCAAATATCACAAATTAGTTTCTGACAATGCTTCCATCTATTTTTTTATGTGAAGATTTTTCCTTTCCTACCATAGGCATCAAAACGCTCTAAATATACAATCGCAAATTCTACAAAAAGAGTGTTTCAAAACTGCTCTATTAAAAGAAAGGTTAAACTCTGTAAGCTGAATGCACACATCCCAAAGAAGTTTCGGAGAATGATTCTGTCTAGTTTTTCTATGAAGATATTTCCTTTTCCACCATAGGCCTCAAACCGCTCTAAATATCCACTTGGAAATTCTACAAAACGAGTATTTCAAAACTGCTCTATCGAAAGGAAGGTTCAACTCTGTGAGTTGAATGCACACATCACAAAGAAGTGTCTCAGAATTCTTCTGTGAACTTTTATATGAAGAAATCCCGTTTCCAACGAAGGCCTCTAAAAAGTCCAAATATCCACTTGTAGATTATACAAAAAGAGTGTTTCAAAACTGTTCTATCAAAAGAAAGTTAAACTTTGTGAGTTGAAAGCATACACCACAACGTAGTTTCTGAGAATTATTCTGTCTAGTTTTTCAATGAAGATATTTCCTTTTCTATCATAGGCCTCAAACAGTGCTATATATCCACTTGGAAATTCTGGAAAATGGGAGTTACAAAACTGTTCTATCGAAAGGAAGGTTCAACCCTGTGAGTTGAAAGCACACATCACAAAGAAGTTTCTGATAATTCTTCTGCCTAGTTTTATATGATGAAATCACATTTCCAAGGAAGGCCACAAAGAGGTCCAAATATCCACTTGCAGATTCTACAAAAAGAGTGTTTTAAAACTGCTCTATCAAGAAGAACGTACAACTCTGTGAGTTGAATGCAAATATCACAAAGTAGTTTCCGACAAAGCTTCTGTCTAGTTTTTATGTGAAGATATTTCCTTTTCTACCATAGGCCTCAAAGCGCTCTAAGTATACAATTCCAAATTCCACAGAAAGAGTATTTCAATACCGCTCTATCAAAAGAAAGGTTAAACTCTGTAAGCTGAATACACACATCACAAAGTAGTTTCTGAGAATGATTCTCTCTACTTTTTCTATGAAGATATTTCCTTTTCTACCACAGGCCTCAGACGGCTCTATATACATTTGGAAATTCTACAAAATGAGTATTTAAAAACTGCTGTATCAAAAGGAAGTTCAAGTTTGTGAGTTGAATGCACAAATCACAAAGAAGTTTCTGAGAATTCTTCTGTCAACTTTTCTATGAAGAAATCCCTTTCCAACGAAGGCCTCAAGAAAGTCCAAACATTCCTTTGCAGATTCTACAGAAATAGTGTTTCAAAAGTGCTCTATCAAAAGAAAAGTTACACGCTTTGAGTTGAAGGCACACACCAGAAAGTAGTTTCTGAGAATCATTCTGTCTGGTTTTTCTGTGAAATTATTTCCTTTTCTATCAATGGCCTTAAACGGCGCTAAATATCCACTAGGAAATTCTACAAAAATTGAGTTTCAAAACTGCTGTACCGAAGGAAGGTTCAACTCTGTGAGTTGAAAGCACACAACTCAAAGAAGTTTCTGATAAATCTTCCGTCTAGTTTTATATGAAGAAATCATGATTCAAACGATGGCCACAAAGAGGTCCAATATTCCACTTGCAGAATCTACAAAAAGAGTGTTTCAAAACTGCTCTATCAAGAGGAATGTTCAACTCTGTGAGTTGAATGCAAATATCACACAGTAGTTTCTGACAATACTTCTGTCTAGTTTTTCTATGAAGATATTGCCTTTTCTACCATAGGCCTCAAACGGTGCTAAATATCCACTTGGAAATTCTACAAAAACAAAGTTTCAAAACTGCTCTATCGAAAGGAAAGTTCATCTCTGTGATTTGAAAGCACACATCACAAAGAAGAAGTTTCTGATAATTCTTCTGTCTAGTTTTATGTAAAGAAATCACGTTTCAAACGAAGGCCACAAAGAGGTCCAAATATCCACTTTCGGATTCTGCAAAAAGAGTGTTTCAAAACTGCTCTATCAAGAGGAAACTTCAACTCTGTGAATTGAATGCAAATATCACAAAGTAGTTTCTGACAATGCTTCTGTCTAGTTTTTATGTGAAGATATTTCCTTTTCTACCGTAGGCCTCAAAGCGCTCTAAATATACACTTGCAAATTCCACAAAAAGAGTGTTTCAAAACTGCTCTAACAAAAGAAAGGTTAAACTCTGTGAGCTGAACGTACACACCACAAAGTAGTTTCTGAGAATCATTCTGTCTAGTTTTTCTATGAAGATATTGCCATTTCTACCATAGGCCTCAAACAGTGCTTAATATCCAATTGGAAATTCAACAAAAAGAGAGTTTCATAACTGCTCTATTGAAAGGAAGGTTGAACTCTGTGAGTTCAAAGCATACATCACAAAGGAGTTTCTGAGAATTCTTCTGTCTAGATTTATATGAAGAAATCAGGTTTCAAACGAAGGCCACAAAGAGGTCCAAATATCCACTTGCAGATTCTGCAAAAAGAGTGTTTCATTGTAGATTCTGGATATTAGCCCTTTGTCAGATGAGTAGGTTGCGAAAATTTTCTCCCATGTTGTAGGTTGCCTGTTCACTCTGATGGTAGTTTCTTTTGCTGTGCAGAAGCTCTTTCGTTTAATTAGATCCCATTTGTCAATTTTGTCTTTTGTTGCCATTGCTTTTGGTGTTTTAGACATGAAGTCCTTGCCCATGCCTATGTCCTGAATGGTAATGCCTAGGTTTTCTTCTAGGGTTTTTATGGTTTTAGGTCTAACGTTTAAATCTTTAATCCATCTTGAATTGATTTTTCTATGAGGTGTAAGGGAGGGATCCAGTTTCAGCTTCCTACATATGGCTAGCCAGTTTTCCCAGCACCATTTATTAAATAGGGAATCCTTTCCCCATTGCTTGTTTTTCTCAGGTTTGTCAAAGATCAGATAGTTGTAGTTATGCGGCGTTATTTCTGAGGGCTCTGTTCTGTTCCATTGATCTATATCTCTGTTTTGGTACCAGTACCATGCTGTTTTGGTTACTGTAGCCTTGTAGTATAGTTTGAAGTCAGGTAGTGTGATGCCTCCAGCTTTGTTCTTTTGGCTTAGGATTGACTTGGTGATGCGGGCTCTTTTTTGGTTCCATATGAACTTTAAAGTAGTTTTTTCCAATTCTGTGAAGAAAGTCATTGGTAGCTTGATGGGGATGGCATTGAATCTGTAAATTACCTTGGGCGGTATGGCCATTTTCACGATATTGATTCTTCCTACCCATGAGCATGGAATGTTCTTCCATTTATTTGTATCCTCTTTTATTTCCTTGAGCAGTGGTTTGTAGTTCTCCTTGAAGAGGTCCTTCACATCCCTTGTAAGTTGGATTCCTGGGTATTTTATTCTCTTTGAAGCAATTGTGAATGGGAGTTCACTCATGATTTGGCTCTCTGTTTGTCTGTTGTTGGTGTATAAGAATGCTTGTGATTTTTGTACATTGATTTTGTATCCTGAGACTTTGCTGAAGTTGCTTATCAGCTTAAGGAGATTTTGGGCTGAGACAATGGGGTTTTCCAGATATAGAATCATGTCATCTGCAAACAGGGACAATTTGACTTCCTCTTTTCCTAATTGAATACCCTTTATTTCCTTCTCCTGTCTAATTGCCCTGGCCAGAACTTCCAACACTATGTTGAATAGGAGTGGTGAGAGAGGGCATCCCTGTCTTGTGCCAGTTTTCAAAGGGAATGCTTCCAGTTTTTGCCCATTCAGTATGATATTGGCTGTGGGTTTGTCATAGATAGCTCTTATTATTTTGAAATACGTCCCATCAATACCTAATTTATTGAGAGTTTTTAGCATGAAGGTTTGTTGAATTTTGTCAAAGGCTTTTTCTGCATCATCTATTGAGATAATCATGTGGTTTTTCTCTTTGGCTCTGTTTATATGCTGGATTACATTTATGGATTTGTGTATATTGAACCAGCCTTGCATCCCAGGGATGAAGCCCACTTGATCATGGTGGATAAGCTTTTTGATGTGCTGCTGGATTCAGTTTGCCAGTATTTTATTGAGGATTTTTGCAAGAAAAAAACAAAAAACCCCAGCAAAAAGTGGGCGAAGGACATGAACAGACGCTTCTCAAAACAAGACATTTATGCAGCCAGAAAACACATGAAAAAATGCTCATCATCACTGGCCATCAGAGAAATGCAAATCAAAACCACTATGAAATATCACCTCACACCAGTTAGAATGACAATCATTAAAAAGTCAGGAAACAACAGGTGCTGGAGAGGATGTGGAGAAATAGGAACACTTTTACACTGTTGGTGGGACTGTAAACTAGTTCATCCATTGTGGAAGTCAGTGTGGCGATTCCTCAGGGATCTAGAACTAGAAATACCATTTGACCCAGCCATACCATTACTGGGTATATACACAAAGGACTATAAATCATGCTACTGTAAAGACACATGCACACGTATGTTTATTGCGGCATTATTCACAATAGCAAAGACTTGGAACCAACCGAAATGTCCAACAATGATAGACTGGATTAAGAAAATGTGGCACATATACACCATGGAATACTATGCAGCCATAAAAAATGATGAGTTCATGTCCTTTGTAGGGACATGGATGAAATTGGAAATCATCATTCTCAGTAAACTATCGCAAGAACAAAAAACCAAACACTGCATATTCTCACTCATAGGTGGGAATTGAACAATGATATCACATGGACACAGAAAGGGGAATATCACACTCTGGGGTCTGTGGTGGGGTGGGGGGAGGGGGGAGGGATAGCATTGGGAGATATACCTAATGCTAGATGACCAGTTAGTGGGTGCAGTGCACCAGCATGGCACATGTATACATATGTAACTAACCTGCACAATACGCACATGTACCCTAAAACTTAAAGTATAATAAAAAAAAAAAAGAGTGTTTCAAAACTGCTCTATGAAGAGGAATGTTCAACTCTGTGACTTGAATGCAAATATCACAAAGTAGTTTCTAACAATGCTTCTGTCTTGTTTTTATGTGAAGGTATTTCCTTTTCTACCGTAAGCCTCAAAGCGCTCTAAATATACACTTGCAAATTCCACAAAAAGCGTGTTTCAAAACTGCTCTATCAAAAGAAAGGTTAAACTCTGGAAGCTGAATGCACACATCACAAAGTAGTTTCTGAGAGTGATTCTGTTAATTTTTTCTATGAAGATATTTCCTTTTCTACACAGGCTTCAGACCGCTCTGTATATACACTTTGAAATTCTACAAAAAGAGCATTTCAAAACTGCTCTACCGAACGGAAGGTCCAACACTGTGACTTGAATACAGCCATCACAAAGAAGTTTCTGAGAATTCTTCTGTCAAGTTTCATATGAAGAAATCCCGTTTTCAACGAAGACCTCAAAAAAGTCCAAATATTCACTTGCAAATTCTCCAAAAAGATTGTTTCAAATCTGCTCTATCAAAAGAAAAGTTACACTCTTTGAGTTGAACACACACATCATATTGTACTTTCTGAGAAATATTCTGCCTAGTTTTTCTATGAATGTATTGCCTTTTCTACCTTAGGCCTCAAATGGCGCTGATTAACCACTTGGAAATTCTGCAATAAGAGAGTTTCAAAACTGCTCTATGAAAGGAAGGTTCAACTCTGTGAGTTGAAAGCACACGTCACAAAGAAGTTTCTGAGAACTCTTCTGTCTAGTTTTAAATGAAGAAGTCACGTTTCAAACGAAGGCCACAAAGAGGTCCAAATATCCACCAGCAGATTCTATAAAAAGAGTGTTGCGAAACTGCTCTCTCAAGAGGAATGCTCAATTCTGTGTGTTGAATGCAAATATCACAAAATAGTTTCCGACAATGCTTCTGTCAAGTATCTATTTGAAAATATTTCCTTTTCTACCGTAGACTTCAAAGCAGTCTAAATGTACACTTGGATATTCCACAAAATAATGTTTCAAAACTGCTCTATTAAAAGAAACGTTAACATTTGTAAGGTTAATGCACACATCACAAAGTAATTTCTGAAAATGATTCTGTCCAGTTTTTCTATGAAGATATTTCCTTTTCTACCACAGCCTCAAACTGCTGTAAATATCCACCTGGAAATTCTAAAAAAAGAGTGTTTCAAAACTGCTCTATCGAAAGGAAGTTTTAACTCTGTGAGTTGAATGCACACATGACAAAGATGTTTCTGAGAATTCTTCTGTCCAGTTTTATTTGAAGGAATTCCATTTCCAACGCAGACCTCAACAAGTCCAAATATTAACTTGCAGATTCTACAAATAGTGTGTTTCAAAACTGCTCTATCAAAAGAAAGATTAAACTCTGTGAATTGAACGCACACATCACAAAGTAGTTTCAGAGAATCATTCTCTCTAGTTTTCCTATGAAGATATTGCCTTTTCTAAAATTGGCCTCTAACGGTGCTAAATATCCACTAGGAAATTATACAAAAATAGTGTTTCAGAACTGCTCCATACAAAGGAAAGTACAACTCGGTGAGTTGAAAGCACACATCACAAAGAATTTCTGAGAACTATTCTTTCTAGTTTTATATGCAGAAATAACTTTTCAAACGAAGGCCACAAAAAGGTCCAAATATCCACTTGCATATTCTACAAAAAAAGAGTTTCAAAACTGCTCTATGAAGAGCAATGTTCAACACTGTGAGTTGAATGCAAATATTGCGAATTAGTTTCTGACAATGCTTCTGTCTAATTTTTATGTGAAGTTATTTCCTTTTCTACCGTAGGCCTCAAAGCCCTCTGAATGTACACTTCCAAATATCACAAAAAGAGTGTTTCAAAACTGCTCTGTCAAAGGAATGGTTAAACATTGTAAGCTGAATGCACCCATCACAAAGTAGTTTCTGAGAATGATTCTGTCTAGTTTTTTAATGAAAATATTCCCTTTTCAATCATTGGCCTCAAACCACTCAAAATATCCACTTGGAAATTCTACAAAAAGATTATTTCAAAAGTGCTCTATCGAAAGGAAGTTTCGACTCTGTGTGTTGAATGCACACATCACAAAGAAGTTTCTGAGAATTCTTCTGACAAGTCTTATATGAAGAAATCCCATTTCCAAAGAAGGCCTCAAAAAAGTCCAAATATTCACTTGCAGATTCTACAAAAAGATTGTTTCAAAACTGCTCTATCAACAGAAAGGTTAAACCCTTTTGATTTGGACGCACACCTCACAAAGAAGTTTCTGAGAATTCTTCTGTCTAGTTTTATATGAAGAAATCACTTTTCAAAAGAAGGCCACAAGGAGGTCCCAAAATCCCCTTGTAGATTCTACAAAAAGAGTGTTTCAAAACTGCTCTATCAAGAGGAATGTTCAACTCTGTGAGTTGAATGCAAATATCACATAGTAGTTTCTGACAATGCTTCTGTCTAGTTTTTATGTGAAGATATTTCCTTTTCCACCGTAGGCCTCAAAGCACTCAAAATATACACTTGCAATTTCCACAAAAAGAGTGTTTCAAAACTGTTCTATGAAAAGAAAGGTTAAACTCTGTAAGCTGAATGCGCCCATCACAAAGTAGTTTCTGAGAATGATTCTGTCTAGATTTCAATGAAGATATTTCCTTTTCTACCATACGCCTCAAACCGCTCTAAATAATATCCACTTGGAAATTCTACAAAAACAGTACTTCAAAACTGCTCTATGGAAAGGAAGGTTCAACTCTGTGAGTTCAATGCGCACATCACAAAGAAGTGTCTGCGAATTCTTTTGTCAAGTTTTATATGAAGAAATCCCGTTTCCAACTAAGGCCGTAAAAAAGTCCAAATATTCCCTTGCAGATGCTACAAAAAGTGTGTTTCAAAACTGCTCTATCAAAAGAAAGGTTAAATTCTCTGAATTGAACGCAGACATCAAAAAGTAGTTTCTGAGAATCATTCTGTCCAATTTTTTTATGAAGATATTGCCTTCTCTACCATAGGCCTCAAACGGTGCCAAATATACACTGGGAAATCCTAAAAAAAAAGAGAGTGTGAAAACTGCTCCATCGAAAGGAAGTTTCAACCCTTTGAGTTGAAAGCACACATCACAAATATGTTCCTCAGAATTCTTCTGTCTATTTTTATATGAAGAAACCACGTTTCAAAAGTACGCCACAAGGTGGTACAAATATCCACTTGCAGATTCTACAAAAAGAGTGTTTAAAATCTGCTCCATGAAGAAGAATGTTCAACTCTGTGAGTTGAATGCTAATATCACAAAGTAGTTTCTGACAAAGATTCTGTCTAGTTTTTATGTAAAGATATTTCCTTTTCTATCGTAGGCCTCAAATCGCTCTAAATATACACTTGCAATTTCCACAAACAGAGTGTTCCAAAACTGCTCTAAAAAAGAAAGGTTCAACTCTGTGAGCTGAATGCACACATCACAAAGTAGTTTCTGAGAATGATTCTGACTAATTTTTCTTCGCAGATATATCCTTTTCTACTGTACGCCTCAAACGGCTCTAGATATCCACTTGGAAATTCTAAAAAAAGAGTATTTCAAAACTGCTCTATCGAAAGGAAGGTTCAACTCTGTGAGTTGAAAGCACACATCACAAAAAAGTTCCTCACAATTCTTCTGTCTAGTTTTATATGAAGAAATCACTTTTCAAAGGAAGGCCACAAACAGGTCCAAATATCCACTTGTATTTTCTACAAAAAGAGTGTTTCAAACTGCTCTATCAAGAGGAATGTTCAACTCTGTGAGTTGAATGCAAATATCACAAAGTAGTTTCTGACAATGCTTCTGTCTTGTTTTTATGTGAAGATATTACCTTTTCTACAGTAGGCCACAAAGCGCTCTAAATATACACTTGCAAATTCCACAAAAAGAGTGTTTCAAATCTGCTCTATGAAAAGAAAGGTTAAACTCTGTGAGATGAATGCACACATCACAAAGAAGTGTCTGAGAATTCTTCTGACAAGTCCTATATGAAGAAATGCCGTTTCCAATGATGGCCTCAAAAAAGTCCAATTATTCACCTGCAGATTGTACAAAAAGAGTGTTTTCAATACTGCTTCTATAAAGGAAAGGGTAAACTTTGTGCGTTTGAATGCACACATCACAAATAAGTTTCTGAGAATCATTCTCTCTTGTTTTTCTGTGAAGWTATTGCCTTTTCTACCATAGGCCTCAAAAGGGGCTAAATATCCACTTGGATACCCCACTAAAAGAGAGTTTCATAACTGCTGTATCGAAAGGAAGTTTCAGCTCTGTGAGTTGAAAGCACACGTAACAAAGAAAGAAGTTTCTGTGAATTCTTCTGTCTTGTTTTACATGAAGAAATCACGTTTCAAATGAAGGCCACATAGAGGTCCAAATATCCACTTACAGATTCTACAAAAAGAGTGTTTCAGTATTCCTCTATCGAAAGCAAAGTTAAACTCTGTGAGTTGAATACACACATCACAAAGTAGTTTCTGAGAATCATTCTGTCTGGTTTTTCTATGAAGATATTGCCTTTTCTACCATT